>NC_000006.12:3847878-3999393 GCF_000001405.40 Homo sapiens
TGTCTCAGGCACTAGGGAAGCCTAGGGACAGGAAGAGAGATGAAGGAACAGCCAGTCAGTGGAGCAGTCAGAACATACATAACATTTATCAGTTAAATCAATAAACGTCTTTGTCTTCTACTGCACACTTCGGAGTGCCCCCAAACAATTACAATAACCTCACAGAACGATGATCACAGATCACCATAGCAGATATCACAATGAAAAAGTCTGAAATATTGCAAGAATTACCAAAATGTGACACAGGAACACGAAGTGAGCACATGCTGCTGGAAAAATGGAGCCAGTAGGCGCTTGACGCTGTGTTGCCACAAATCTTCAATTTGTAAAAACAAAAACAAAACACACAGTATCCCAGAGCTCAATAAAATAAGATATTCTTGTATTCTGGTGATGGGGCAACAATGAGAAGGCTTTAGATTAAAAAAAATGCTAATTTCCTAGATTAAGGCAAGTGGTGGGGAATGGGAGAAAAAGGAAAGTGTGAAAGGCTCTTCTGTAATTGATTACCTGTGGAGGAACGTCATTCCAGGAAAAGGCCTAGGTTTCTGGCTTGGACAATTTGATGAGGGCTCACACCGTGCTGTTCTCCTCTGGATATGTGGGTGCCATATGTAATTATCATATGATTCACGCTTCTTGGTAAGGTTATGCTCACAGGCATTGTTGCTCTTAGGCGGGAGGAGGCTGAACCGCAGTATGTATTTCACAACCAGCTTTTCCAAACTAGGTCCCAGGAAGCACTGGTTTCGGCGAGTGTTACCAGATCTCCTGCAGGGGAGAAACGGTCACGAAACATGAACTGGTCTGCCCTGCTCTTGGAGAGTTACAGTGGAAACTGGCATGTTAGAGGCTCACAGTAAAGACACTGCTACACTTTAACTCAGTGTCCCATGGTTATTAGAGCTTAGAACCCGGGGGAAACTGCTGTATAGAAGAGGTCAAACAAGCTGAGTGCAGGTTTTGTCACGAAACTGGGGGGCGAGTAGGGTTCTATTATCAAAGAATGGTTGTGTTGGGGCCATAAGAAAGAATTACAGGCAGTGGTGCGCAGGTAATGTTCACGAGACGCCACAGCGGGGTAGCATCAGAGGCGGGAGGAGGAGGGTTGGAGAGCAGGGCCGTGTTGCAAGGCTCTCTGGGTGGCCACAGCAGCTTGCGCTGCGCCCACATTGCTTCTGCGTGTTTACAGTTGGGCACGAGAAGGCTCAGCACGCACGCACAGCAGGTGGGGGCCCGCCCTGCCCACAGCGTGAAAACAGGAGCCCCGGCCAGCCACGGCTGGGCAGGGCCAGAAGCGCCTCCTCCAGGATCCTCCCCGCGCTGGCCCGCCCCACAGGAGCACCGCCCCTACCAGGAGCCCGGAGCTCTTCCCAGGGCCCGCCTCCCCGCCAGGGGGCGATCCACCTCCACTTCCTGTTTCCGCAGCCGCCCTACCAGGAGCCTGGCACTCTCCTCAGGGCCCGCCTCCCCGCCAGGGGGCGCACCGCCTCCACTTCCTGTGTCCACGGCTGTCGCGAGAGCCCGGGGCGAGTGGGCCTCTGCTCGTGGGTGGTTCTCGTGGAGGTCAGCTCCCGCGTGTCTCCGCTCGACAGGGTGCTTGGGCAGGTAAGGGTCCGCTCAGTAGCCCAACCCTCTCTGTATGCAGCTCCCCAAATTCAGCGCTGCGCTCAGGCATGGCAGCCACCCGTTACGTGGGGCCGTTCGCATTTGCATTTATTGAGGTCAAATAAAATGCTGGAAATTGGTGCCTGGTGACACTGTCAGGTTGGTGGTTACCCTAGCAGGTCGGCCCAGCCCCTGAACGCTTCCATCACTGCCGAAAGCCCTGTGAGGAGGCGCAGAGCTGAGCATTCCCCGCCGTTGCGTGGGCCCCCCTCTACCTGCCGCGTTTTTCCTCTTTGCTGCAGAGCCCATCGGGTAGGCGCGGGCCATGGCGCAGTACAAGGGCACCATGCGCGAGGCAGGCCGTGCCATGCACCTCCTCAAGAAGCGCGAAAGGCAGCGGGAGCAGATGGAGGTGCTGAAGCAGCGCATCGCCGAGGAGACCATCCTCAAGTCGCAGGTGGACAAGAGGTTCTCGGCGCATTACGACGCCGTGGAGGCCGAGCTGAAGTCCAGCACGGTGGGCCTGGTGACCCTGAACGACATGAAGGCCCGGCAGGAGGCCCTGGTCAGGGAGCGCGAGCGGCAGCTGGCCAAGCGCCAGCACCTGGAGGAGCAGCGGCTGCAGCAGGAGCGGCAGCGGGAGCAGGAGCAGCGGCGCGAGCGCAAGCGTAAGATCTCCTGCCTGTCCTTTGCACTAGACGACCTCGATGACCAGGCCGACGCGGCCGAGGCCAGGCGCGCCGGAAACCTGGGCAAGAACCCCGACGTGGACACCAGCTTCCTGCCAGACCGCGACCGCGAGGAGGAGGAGAACCGGCTCCGAGAGGAGCTGCGCCAAGAGTGGGAGGCGCAGCGCGAGAAAGTGAAGGACGAGGAGATGGAGGTCACCTTCAGCTACTGGGACGGCTCGGGCCACCGGCGCACGGTGCGGGTGCGCAAGGGCAACACGGTGCAGCAGTTCCTGAAGAAGGCGCTGCAGGGGCTGCGCAAGGACTTCCTGGAGCTGCGCTCCGCCGGCGTGGAGCAGCTCATGTTCATCAAGGAGGACCTCATCCTGCCGCACTACCACACCTTCTACGACTTCATCATCGCCAGGGCGAGGGGCAAGAGCGGGCCGCTCTTCAGCTTCGATGTGCACGATGACGTGCGCCTGCTCAGCGACGCCACCATGGAGAAGGACGAGTCGCACGCGGGCAAGGTGGTGCTGCGCAGCTGGTACGAGAAGAACAAGCACATCTTCCCCGCCAGCCGCTGGGAGGCCTATGACCCCGAGAAGAAGTGGGACAAGTACACCATCCGCTAACACCCGCCTGCCAGAGCGGAAACCGGGGGTGGGGGGAGACACTCATTTCTAGGCCCCATCACCAGTCACTTGATTTCGTGACCTTGATTTCTTCCCCCAAATTTAATAAAGACAGAGGGTTCTCATGATTCACATTGGTTGTGCTATTGCTGATGTTATGCTTTGGTTGCTTGGTTGGTCTTTTCTGAGTATTTTAGTGTTGCCACCTGGATTTGCTGCATTGCTCTGCTGAGCTGTATTGAAACCATGACTGGGCCCACTGTCAGACAGAAATTAGAATAGGAGGCACATTTTTTACCTGGTGGTTATGAGCATGGACTTGGGGGCCACAGTGACTGAGTTTGATTCCCGACACAGCCTCCTCCTTGCTGTGTAGTTTTGGGTAAGCTTATTAAACCCCCATGCCTCAGTTTGGTCACCTGTAAAAGGAAATAACAAGAGCACTTACTTTATAAGATTGATGTGAGTATTAAGTGAATTAATATTTGTAAAACGCTTAGCTCTTAATAAATGTTTCTGTTGTTATTATTATGGTTTTGGTTAATTTATTTAAAGGACTGCAATGACCTAGTTCAGAACCATTTGAGGGCAAAGGTGGACCTGCCCATCACTGGTCCCAGGATCAGCAGTTGCCAGCAGGAGGGGGCTAGCAAAGGTTGGGGAGCAGCCCCCCTCTAGTGGGCTTTAGCTGGGTTGTTTAGCCCAGAAGTTAGGAGGACAGTGAGCTAATGCAAGTAGCCTGCAGGGTCAGTATCATTGATTTTCCTTTTGCTCCAATATGACTCCACAGGGCACAGTTACAGATCCTGTCTTCATTGAAAATGTTTGTATTTTATTCATTGTGGATTATTTCTGTTAATTTTGATTTTTAAAAATACTGTATTCAGGCTGGGTGTGGTGGCTCGTGCTTGTAATCCTAGCACTTTGGGAGGCCGAGGTGGGTGGATCACCTGAGGCCAAGAGTTCGGGACCAGCCTGGCCAACATAGTGAAACCCTGTCTCTACTAAAAATACAAAAATGTGCCTGTAATCCCAGTTACTTGGGAGGCTGAGGCAGGAGAATTGCTTGAACCTGGGAGGCAGAAGTTGCAGTGAGCCGAGATTGCCCCACTTCACTCCAGGCTGGGTGAAAGAGTGAAACTCCATCTCAAAAAAATATATATATGTGTATATATATTTATTTATATATATTTATACATTTATTTATATATATTTATATATACATTTATATGTTTAATATATATTTATATATATTTTATATATATTTTTTATATATTTATACATTTATTTATATAATTCAAATATTATTTATTATTTGGTTACTGAGTATTTGGGGATCTCCTCCTCCTTAACCTTAATGCCCAAGTTGGGTGCCTCACTCACGTTACCCCAGTCCCAGCCCTGAGTATAGGAGGGACATTTCTTAGAGTTCTTGCCTCAGTGCATAAGCAAGAACTTCCACCGAAACATTAGCCTTCTAGGACAGTGGGTCCCAATGGCTGTCCCTTAGGGTCATCAGGGAAGCTTTTAAACTTCCCAATTCAAAGGTCACACCCAGAGCCAGACCTCAGGGTCAGAAGTGGACATCAGTGTTTTGAAGCTCCCCAGCTATTTGGTTGGAGAACAAACGCTCTATGGCTGCCTTTTCCACCTCTTATGAACTCCTCCCCCTGAGTTTCGGTGCAAGTAGGGTCAGGGCCCAGGACAGGCTCTTGGCTCTGAACACTTCCTTAGGGTGTGAAGCAGATTCTTCCTACCTGAAGTGAGACCCTTGGACCAGCAGCATCGGCACTTGGGAGCTTGTTAGAAACGCAGATAGAAAAGCAGAATCTCAGGCCCCACCCCAGACCTACTGAATCAATGTGTATTCCAGTAAGATCCCCAGGTGAGCCACAGGAACACGAAGGTTTCTGGAAACTGGCTGGCTGGATGTCTGCTATTTAGTCTGCCCTTCCAACATAGCAGATCAAGACCTAAACTTGAGGGTGCTGATAGTAGAACCCCACATCTTTGGTTGGTCTAAGCCATATTCTCCAATCTAGTTTTCATTTAAAAGTTAGTATGCTGCCGGGCGCGGTGGCTCACGCCTGTAAAAATCCCAGCACTTTGGGAGGCTGAGGCAAGTGGATCACCTGAGGTCAGGAGTTCAAGATCAGCCTGACCAATATGGTGAAACCCTGTCTCTACTAAAAATACAAAAAAATTAGCTGGGCACGGTGGCGGGCACCTGTAATCCCAGCTACTCAGGAGGCTGAGGCAGAAGAATCGCTTGAACGTGGGGGACGGAGGTTGCAGTGAGCCAAGATCATGCCACTGCACTCCAGCCTGGGCTACAGAGCAAGCCTTTGTCTCAAAAAAAAAGTTGGTATGCTGACTACAATCTAATCCTGCCTTATTTCTTAATTGTTTTGGTGTTACTTAGAGTTAGGTTCAACTGCACATTACAAAATACACAAAGTACCTGTAGCTTAAGCAAGCCTATTTCTCTGCTTCAAAGAAGTCTAGAGGTAAGTTGGCCGTAACATCAAGGACCCAGGCTGCTTCTACCTTGTTTCATCATATGTGTCTTCCATATCCATGGTTACTTCATAATCCAAGATGGCAGCTGCATCTTTAACCATCACATCTACATCCTGGAAAACAGAAGGTAAGGGGAGAAAGAAAGTTCAAAAGACTTAAAACAGCTGTCTCTCCAGGAAGAGTCCTGTAAGCCAACAAACACTGTAGTGGTTGCCGGAGCTTGGTTTCCTGGCCACACCTGGTTGCGTGGGAAGCTGGGAGATATAGTCCTTATCTGGGAAGCCAAGTTCTATTACTATGGGAAAAAATGGAGAGCAGAAATCAGGGGATAAATACAGTTTGTGATGTAGTCTATCCCTTTCACTACAAAAATATCCAAGTGTATCCTTTCCTCACACATAGCACATTCAGTCCTAAAGCAAAGAAGACCACCACAAGGGCCCAGTAGTTATATCTGGGGTGATGTACAGGCCTCTCCTTCAAGTCTGAATGTGGATCTTTGTCATCTAGCTACTTATAAACTAAAGAATAAGCAATCCGTCCTCTCACATACCTGATATGCAATGGTGAAACAAATACAAACATTAGGAAAAGGGAATGCAAAGCACCAACAAGAGCCACTTCTCTGGCCACTATCAAATTCTACTGGGAGGTATTGCAAAGACTCTGTCTGCCTTGGAGGTATCATCCCTTGGTTGCCCTGGGTCCACTGTCTGGGATGAACTACCCAGTTCATTGTCCCGCATACCCTCTGGCTTTACCCTCCTGGTCCTCCATGACCACATCCAAGCCCCATTTGACAGAGCTACAGATCTTTTGCTGCCTGCTTCCTGCTGATGCAGATTTGGGAACCAGAGATTGCTTTCATAGGTTTTTCAGTCTAGGCTAATGGGTTTTTTTGATAATTCAATCCTCTCAAAAACTTAGATGGATTTCTAGTCAGTTCCATGTGCAATGAATTAATCCCAGCCAAAGTTATTTTCTAGACATGATGTTAAGTATGAAATTCTCGTTTTTACTTGCTGGCTTCTGAACTCTCTCCACCCCACTCCCTAAATTTAATGAGGGATACCTTAAAACAATATGGCACCCAGCATCAATCTTATCTCCTGCTGAGGCTGTAGCTTTGAAGCCACTAATGGTAACTTCAGTTGGGCGTAATGAAACATTTGGTTTTTTATGTCATGCAGGGCTCCAGACTTGGACTGAAGTCTGTAGGTGAGGACCCCTTGCTGGGCAAGGCTGCCTCTCCCAGCACTGCTGGCAGACAGGTTAGCTCATGCCTGCATGCATGTCACTCAGGTCTCTGCTGAAAGCAAGGAGAAATAACCAACACACAACAACCTTCTGAAATTTTTCTAAGAATTCCCTATCATTGCAGCCATGGTGGGTACCTGGCCTGCCTTGCATGCACAGCAAGAGACAGGGTGACCAAATGTGCCTGGGACAAGCCAGCAGCCTCTGTCACAGATGGACCCCAGGGGGGGAAGGGGTCAAGTGCAGCCTCAGACTCCCAGGTGTGCCAGATTACTTGACGTGCCATATTTCACCAGTCATCAGCGCAACCCCCTGAGATTGTTGGCACCATTTGTCTGATGAAGAAATTGAATCTCAGTGGGCCTAAGTCACTGAAACGGGGTCACACAATGTTAGGAGTGGGAACTTGTTGTATAAAAATAACTATATTTGGTCTTTGTCCCAGGTTCCTGGTACAGAGCTCCTAAACCCCTTGGAATTTTCCTGAGTGATAGGAGTATCTTTGATATTCATAACAAACCCCTTCCAATGACATCTGTGTTTACTCTAATGAGGTGACCTCGGGTGGGGCCCCTAGTTAGCTTCAGAATGGGGATGCTCACCAGAAGAACAGTGACTAGAGGACTGGAACTTTCAGCCCCACCCACCAACCTCCAAGACAGTTACCTTTGGGGAACTGGAGGAGAGAGTGGGAGTCTGGAGGTTACACTCTGCAAAAACTCTTTTTTTTTTTTTTTTGAGACAGTGTCTCACTCTGTCGCCCAGGTTGGAGTGCAGTGGCGCGATGGGGGCTCACTACAAGCTCCATCTCCCGGGTTCATGCCATTCTCCTGCCTCAGCCTCCTGAGTAGCTGGGACTATGGGAGCCCGCCACCACGCCCAGCTAATTTTTTGTATTTTTAGTAGACACAGGGTTTCACCGTGTGAGCCAGGATGGTCTCAATCTCCTGACCTCGTGATCCACCCGCCTCGGCCTCCCAAAGCGCTAGGATTACAGGTGTGAGCCACTGCGCCCAGCACACTCTTCAAAAACTCTTGAACAAGATATGATGAGCTTCTGCGTAGCGAATGCATCTTTGTGCAGGGAGGGTGGTGTACCTTAACTCCACAAAGGATCAAAGCTTCTACACTCAGGACCCTTCTGGACCTTGCCCTATGCACCTCTTCATCTATATCCTTTGTAATATTCATTAAAATAAACCAGGAAATGTAAGTTGTTTCCCTGAGTTCTGAGAGCTGCTCTAGAAAGTAGGGTCATGGAAACTCCCAATTTATAGCCAGTTGATCAGAAGTACAGGAGGCTCAGACACAATTGGTGTATGAAGCAGGTGCAGTCTTGCGAGACCGGGCCCTTAATTTGTGGGATTGAAGCCATCCTCATGGAGTTAACAGGAATTTTTTTTTTGGAGGACCTCCACACTACCCTAATGGCTGCAGGGGTCATGGAGCCCCCAGGAGGATTTTCAGCAAGGAGGAGGTCAGTTATCGACAGGGGGCCCCAACGCCAGCACCAGGCAACATTGAGCAGGGAATAGTGCTGGTGAGGCATATCATTGGGCAAAAGGGTACTTTTGGTACAGATTTGAAAAGCTATTTCTACCTTGAGTAGTTTCCAAATAAAATGGAAAAACCTGGACAAATAATGCCTGGCACCATTAGCATCTGGTGTGAGCTGACAGCTGAATGAACCAGAGAGTCCCAGGATGTCAGAGCACAAGAGGCCCTGAGAGCCATCCCCAGAGTTCCCAAATGCTGCTCTGTAGCATTTTCAAAGGTCTCTAGAGAAATGAGAACAAGAAGAATGATGAGATAAGTTTTTATAAAACTAAGGGTTTTTTTCCCATTTAAGGTTATAAAATTTATGTTGTGTTTTCTCATTTTTATGTATTTTTATTTGGTACTAAAGTTTTCTTATAATGAAATTATAGTTATTTTAGATGCTAAGCGTTTTTTCTTTAATAATTTTATTTGGCCATAGTAAAAAATGATCACCCCTGGAAGTTCCTGTTATCACTGGCATCTCAACATCTGGAAATCCCTGAATGAGTCCAGCTTTTTAATTTAACAGAATAGAAGTGAGGCCCCTGGCAGGGAAGTGTCTTGCCCAAGGTCACAAAGCTGGTTAGCAAATAAGGGCATTGGACCTGAGAACTTGATGCCCACGCTCCCTCCTGCCCTCCTCCTCTTCTCAGGGCACTGCACTGGAACACTGGGTGTTCCTCACGTGATTGGGTGAGACCCATGAAATGCATGAGGAGAATAAAAGTCTCGTGTTGACATCAGCGACCAAGGGAGCCCATCACCTGCAGTCCTGAGGCCGCACCTGTTAAGGGGTCCTACGCTGGTCTCCTAATGCCTGCATTCACTATTGGGTACTGCTGTGTTCCCTCCCTTTGCCAACTAGAAAGTCTTTGTTTTCAGCTGCTTTTGCTTTTGCGGGATGGACAAGACAATCCTTATGCAATGAAGGCAAAATAACGTTGGCTTGAAGACTGCCCACTCTGAACATCTTCCTATATTGTTATTGTGGAAAAACCCCACATAGAGATGAGCTCTCAGGAACATCACAAAATCTCCCATGTTCTCAAAAAACCACAATTAATTAAGCTACTTCAGAAAATACTGATAGACTGACAGACCCCTAACTAGCCTGACACAAGCAGGTGCCACTATATTGATCTGGGGGGCTTGGGGATCAGGATCTTATTTGTATTTTTCCTGATTCCTCAGAATGAGAGACAGGGGTTTTATGTTCTTAGCTGGAGGATTGCGGCAGGGAAAAGCATTTCCTACAGACTCATGTATTTTTGCCAAGTAAATGTCGTAGTAAATAATATTACAAAGAAAAAGAAAAATTAGATTTTTCTCATACCTAACTCATGCTGGAAATTTATTTTTCTAGAATTTATTGCCTTCAAACCAATAAGTGAGACTTTTTGAGAAACAATATGTGTATATGTATATGAACATGATTATATATGTATGTGTGTACGTATATGAATGTGTATATGAATATGAATGTGCATATGAATATATATAAATATGTGCATGTATATATGTATGTATACACACACACACACATTTCAATCTCCAGGAGAAACTTGAACGGCTCCAGGGATCACCATGGAGATCACCAGGGATCTCCAGGAGAAACTTCACAGGCTTCGAGGATCACCATAGAACTGAATGTATTTAGTTAGGGCAGTGTTACAAAGTGGTTATGACTGATGAGCTGGAGAGACTGAAGTCACTAAGAAAGCAGCAGGATTTAACCCCACTTGTGGGAACCAGCCTCCAAGAGGGCCCGCGGTGATTCTTTGTTGGTTTCGTGCCCTCTGTAATCACTAGGACTTGGATGGGATGACAGCGTGTAACATATGATACAAGGTCATGAAAGGCATTGTACCTTCCATGTGCCACCTTGCCCTCTTCGATCACGCATTCTGGAGCAAGCCAGCTTCCCTGTCATGAGAACACTCAGGCAGTCTCATGGAAAGGGCCACCTGGCAAGGAACAAGGAACAAAGGCTACGTGCTACCAGCCAAACAAAACTGGGCACCGGTCCTGGAATCAGATCCTCCAGCCCCATCAAGCTTTCAGATGACTGCAGCCCCAGCCGGCAACTCAACTCGTCTCATGAGCGATCCCATCTGTATATAATTAATATATAGGTATTAACTGAGACATATTTCACATGCCAGAGAACACATCCAAAGTACATAGTTCAATGGTTGTTAGTATATTCACAAAGTTGTGCAGACATTACCACAATCTAATTTTGGAACATTTTTATCACTACAAAAACAAACCCTCTACCCATCAGCAGATATTCCCCATTCTCACTCTCCTCCCCACCTCTAGGAAACCAGTAATTATTTTGTTTCTGTAGATTTGCTTATTCTCACCATTTCACATTAATGGAATCATTTACTATGTGGCCTTTAATTTCTGGTTTCTGTCACTTAACATGACATTTTCATGTTTACCCATATGGTAGCATGTATCAGGGTTTCATTCCCTTTCATGGCCAGATAACATTCTAGTAGATACAACACATTTTGTTTATCTGTCGTTCACTAGTTATAGGACATTTGGGTTGCTTCCAATTTTTGGCTTTTATGAATAATGCCACTAATGAAGATTTGTGTACAAGTTTTTGTACACAAATATTTCATTTCTCTTGGGTATATCCCTAGGAGTGGAATTGCTGGGTCATATGGTAACTCTATGTGTAACCTTTTGAGGAATTGCAAGTGTGTTTTCCAAAGCAGCTGCTCTATTTTACATTTCTAGTATTATCGTTTGAGGGTTTCAAATTCTCGGCGTCCTCACCAGTAGTGTATGAGGCTTTCAAATTCTCTGCTTCCTGAATTCTACTAATTCACCAACACAAATTATTATTATCCATCTTTTTTATTATAGCCATCCTTGTGGGTGTGAAGTGGTATCTTGTTGTGGTTTTGATTTGCATTTTCCTGATGGTTACTGATGGTGAGCATCTTTCAATATGCTTATTGACCATTTGTATATCTTCTTTGGAGAAATTTTTATTTATATCCTTTGTCCACTTTTTAATGAGATTACTTGTGCTTTTATTATTGACTCATAAAATTTCTTTATATATTATAGATACAAGTGCCATATCAAATATATGATTCACAAATATTCTCACATTCTATGTGTTGTCTTTTTCTTCATGGCATTCTATGAGCACAGAAGTTTTTAATTTTAATGTAATCCTATATATATATATTTTTTTTCTTTTGTCACTTGTGCATTTGGTATCATATCTAAGAAACTATTGCCTAGCTCCAGGTCATGGAGAATATACTCCTATTTTCCTTTAAGAGTTTTATAGTTTTACCTTTTACATTTATGTCTTTGATCCATTTTGAGTTAATTTTTGTATATGGTGGGAGGTAATTGTCTGATCTCATTCCTCTGCATGTGGATATCTAGTTGTTCCAGCACCATTTGTTGAAAAGACTTTTCTTTCCCCATTGGATGGTCTTGGCATCCTTATCAATAATTTGGGTTTATTTCACATAGGTTTATTTCTAGACTCTCATTTCTATTCCATTGATCTATATTGCTATCCTTATGCCACAACTACACTGTCTTGATTACTGGTGTTTTATACTAAGCTTTGAAATAAAGAAGTGTGTGTCCTACAACTTTGTTCTTCTTTTTCAAAGCAACAAATTCCTAGCTTATAGTTTATCTAAGAATGCCTTTATTTAATCTTCAATTTTAAAAGATAGTTTTGCTGGACGTAGGAGTCTTGATCACAGGTTTGATTTTTTGTTTTTCCCATCACTTTGAATCACTGGCCTCTATTACTTTTGATGAGGAATCAGCATATAGGGGATTAAGTCAATTAATTTTGTTAGAGTTCCTTTGCCTATGATGAGTCATTTTTCTCTTGAGGCTCTCAAGATTGTCTCTTTATTGCTGGCTTTCAATGTTTTGATTATGATATATCTTGATATGATATGATATGATATGATATAAAACAGAGTGTGGCTCTGTTTTAACTCTACTTAGAATTAATTGAGTTTCTTGGATGTACAGATTAATTCTTTTTAAGGAATTTGGGGAGTTTTCAACCATTATTTCTTCAGACACATTTTCTGTTCCTTTCTTTCTTTCCTTTCCTTCTGGTACATCCAGTATGCATACGTTGGTGTGCTTAATGGTGTCCCACATTGCTCTGAGGCTCTGTTTATTTTTTATTTTTGTTTCTCCAATTCATAATCTCTATTGATCTGTCTTCAGGTTTGCTTATACTTTCTTCTGCCAGCTCAAATCTATTTTTGAGCCTCTCTAGTACATTTTTCATTTCAACTATCATGCTTTGCAACTCCAGAATTTTTATTTCATTCAATTTTATAACTTTGATCTCTTTATATTTTCTATGTGGTGAGGTATTGTCATCATACTCTCCTTTAGTTCTTTGGCCATGGTCTCCTTTATTTCTTTGAACATGTTTATAAGAATTGCTTTGAAGTCTTTGTTATGCCCAATGTCTGCATACTTCATGGGCAATTTCTATTACTTGCTTTCTTTCCTATGTATAGGTCACACTTTCCTGTTTCTTTGTGTGTCTTTTTTTTTTTTTTTTTTTTTTTAAGACAGAGTCTTGCTCTGTCACCCAGGCTGGAGTGCAGTGGCATGATCTCCACTCATTGCGACCTCTGCCTCCTGGGTTCAAGCAATTCTCCTGCCTCAGCCTCCTGAGGAGCTGGGATTACAGGCATGCACCACCATGCCCAGGTCATTCTTTTTTTTTTTGGTATTTTTAGTAGAGATGGGGTTTTGCCATGTTGGCCAGGCTGGTCTCCGACTCCTGGCCTCAAGTGATCCGCCCATCTCAGCTTCCCAAAGTGCTAGGATTGCAGGCATGAGCCACTGTGCCTGGTCTTTTTGTGTGTCTGGTAGCTTTCATCAAATATTGAACATTTTAATTAATATATTGTAGCAACTCTAAATACTGATTTCTCCCCCTGTGGGGATTGTTTGTGTATTTGTTCAGTGTCTTGCCTTGACTAGCTCAGTAAAGTCTACTCTCCTCCATTGTGCAGCCTCTGATGTCTCTGCCCAAACACTTTCCCCCTCAATTTTATCTGTAAGCCTGGTTTTCTGTGGGTCACCCCTGGGTCAGCTCAGATCGTTAGTCAGTCTCTGATTTGTCAGAGGTTGTACTTAACCCCCTGAACCTGTAAGGTTTTCACCACTGGATCTGTATGTGGCTTTGAGACTGCTTTTACTGTTCAGGTAGTTTGTGAGTTTGCCCTGTGTTCAGCCAAGGAACAGTAGCTCAGAAGTTCCTCTTCATTCACTCTTCAGAGGACTCAGCTTTGGGCAAGCACACAGAGCTCCTGACCACCAGGGAGGACTGTGGGTTTAGCAGAGATCCCTTTAGTGGTCTCTTTCTTTGATCTCCACATTGAGTTTCTGACTAGTCTGCCTCTACTGGTATCACACCCAATTGTTAGTCTCCACTAATTGCTAGTTGATTGTTCTACTGTTTTCAGTAATGACCTGGGGCCTTAAATTGCTCAACAATCTAATCCAATTAAAGTAGAGCCCCTTGGCAAGGACGGTGTGTGATGAATCTTGAAACTGGCTCCAACACGTTCCTTGGCAGAAACTTTGCACTATGGAGCAGGAGCTGGAGATGCAAGAAGATGGGCACCCGGCCGCCCCCCCTGGATCCTCTTTACCAAGAAGGAGCTGCATGTGTATGGGAGGTGAGAACTGGTGCCATGACAGCCCAGTGTATATCTCTGTGACCCACAGCTCGGGGTGGGGGAATGAAGGATAGGATTTACCAACATTCACCAGCTACCAAATCTATCTGGAATAGCTCTTTCCCCTCCAGAAGATGGAAGAGATGGGAGCTGCCAAGCCCACCAGAGCAGTTCTCCCACAACACAGTGCTGGAGGGAATAGGGGACTGCATTTTTAACCAGTCCCACCCAGATCCTTTCTCTGTAGGGGTGGGAAAACAGGCTCCACTACCTGGCTGCCACCACCATTCAGCATAGTATTTCTGCAGCATAGAGCTCTGGGAAATGGATCTACCGATATTCAACGCCTGTGGAATCCACTGGGAATATCTCTTCTACCCCGAGGAGCTGGGGGAGATAGGAGCTGCCACTCAGCTTTCAAATTCTTTGAAGGGGCTCCTCTGCAACACAAAGCTATGGTGATGAGGGGGAGCCCTAGATCAATGGATAGCCTCCCCCTGTTCTTACTGTGTTTCCATAGGTTTGCTGAATACAAGCTTTGTGGTAAGCACTTTGATCAATCTCCAGAGATTTTGGCTGATCAGATTTTGCTAACTTTGATTAGCTTAATAGCTGTCCTTCTGGGAGAGAACTTTCCCCAAGTTCCTCACACTGCTGCTCTGCTCCAAGATATGTTTTTAAGTCGGAAAAAAAGTCTGCGAGGAAAAGCAATACATATAATGTGCCACTATTTGCAAAAGAGGACAGAGGGAGAATGATACATATATTCACTCATATTGTGCTTAGAATATCTCTGAAAGGATATATAAGATTCTGGAAGCCACTGTCTGGTTCTGGGGAGTAGGATAGGATGGCTAGGAGACAGGCATGAGAAAGAGACTTCCCCCCAGTATATCCAGCTGTACCTTTTGAATTGTGAATCATGCAAATGTGTTACCCATTAAAATATAAAACTATAATTAAAATTTTGAGGCCGGGCGCAGTGGCTCACGCCTGTAATCCCAGCACTTTGGGAGGCCGAGTCAGGCGAATCACGAGGTCAGGAGATCAAGACCATCCTGGCTAACATGGTGAAACCCCATCTCTAATAAACAAACAAAAAAACAAAAAATTAGCCTGGCGTGGTGGAACGCGCCTATAGTCTCAGCTACTCAGGAGACTGAGGCAGAAGAATCCGTTGAACCCCGGAGGCGGAGGTTGCAGTGAGCCGAGATTGTGCCACTGCACTCCAGCCTGGGCAACAGTGTGAGACTCTGTCTTAAAAATAAATAAATGAAAAAAATTTGAACTGATATTTTTAAAACCACAAAAAGTATCCTGAGTAACGAGAGCTTGATTTTCTTTTTTTTTTTTTTTTTTGGTTGAAAATTTTTTTTTTAAATTATACTTTTAGGGTACATGTGCACAGCACGCAGGTTTCTTACATATGTATACATGTGCCATGTTGGTGTGCTGCACCCATTAACTCGTCATTTAACATTAGGTATATCTCCTAATGCTATCCCTCCCCCCTCCCCCCACCCCGCAACAGGCCCCGGTGTGTGATGTTCCCTTTCCTGTGTCCATGTGTTCTCATTGTTCAATTCCCACCTATGAGTGAGAACATGCGGTGTTTGGTTTTTTGTCCTTGTGATAGTTTGCTGAGAATGATGGTTTCCAGCTTCATCCATGTCCTTACAAAGGACATGAACTCATCATTTTTTATGGCTGCATAGTATTCCATGGTGTATATATGCCACATTTTCTTAATCTAGTCTATCATTGTTGGACATTTGGGTTGGTTCCAAGTCTTTGCTATTGTGAACAGTGCCGCAATAAACATACGTATGCATGTGTCTTTATAGCAGCATGATTTATAATCCTTTGGGTATATACCCAGTAATGGAATGGCTGGGTCAAATGGTATTTCTAGTTCTAGACCCCTGAGGAATCGCCATACTGACTTCCACAATGGTTGAACTAGTTTACAGTCCCATCAACAGTGTAAAAGTGTTCCTATTTCTCCACATCCTCTCCAGCATCTATTGTTTCCTGACTTTTTAATGATTGCCATTCTAACTGGTGTGAGATGGTATCTCATTGTGGTTTTGATTTGCAGTTCTCTGATGGCCAGTGATCATGAGCATTTTTTCATGTGTCTTTTGGCTGCATAAATGTCTTCTTTTGAGAAGTGTCTGTTCATATCCTTTGCCCACTTGTTGATGGGGTTGTTTGTTTTTTTCTTGTAAATTTCTTTGAGTTCTTTGTAGATTCTGGATATTAGCCCTTTGTCAGATGAGTAGAATGCAAAAATTTTCTCCCATTTTGTAGGTTGCCTGTTCACTCTGATGGTAGTTTCTTTTGCTGTGCAGAAGCTCTTTAGTTTAATTAGATCCCATTTGTCAATTTTGGCTTTTGTTGCCATTGCTTTTGGTGTTTTAGACATGAAGTCCTTGCCCATGCCTATGTCCTGAATGGTATTGCCTAGGTTTTCTTCTAGGGTTTTTATGGTTTTAAGTCTAACATGTAAGTCTTTAATCCATCTTGAATTAATTTTTGTATAAGGTGTAAGGAAGGGATCCAGTTTCAGCTTTCTACATATGGCTAGCCAGTTTTCCCAAGAGCTTGATTTTCAAGGAGGAGATTGAGGACTTCAAGAGATATTGGCAGATTATTTTTAATATTTTTTTATTATTTTTAAGTGAGCAAACAGAAGAGTAATTAATAAAATGGAATCAGACCATTATAATACTCAGACCATTAATAGAATAAAATGGAATCATTAAATAAAGAGACCTTCCCAATTATCAGATCAGGGCTAACCTCTCCACAGTTTGTCCTTGAGGGAGAAGACCTTAAGCCAGGTAAAGCTATAAGCTTTATAATAAGTTCCAGTCAATCTCCATGGCTTAGATGATGAATACCTGATTGAATTTTAGAATAAACATTTGACCCATGACAGGGTTGAAGTTTTGATCCATTTCCTCTGAGAAAGCTCTCTGACCCATGTGAGTTTGCCCACATGCCCCCCAGCAAACTTCAAAGTCAACATACTGAGAAACACGGGTAAAGTGATCCCTGTCAAGCTCCACCCTGCCAAGAAAAATGCCCCAGTACACTATTTCTCTAAAATAATGAGTGTTGACACGATTTGCCCTATGTATTATTTTTTTAGGGTCACTTTTAGACAATATAGTAGAGTATACCACCATTAATCAATTTCCTATTTGGGGACATGAGAATACCTTCTAATTTTAGCCTATTAAGAAGGAAATTGAAATGTCCACCTGATAGTCAAGTCTTTAGAAATATCTATCACTATGTATTTAGAATAAATTTTTGGAGCAGAGTTGCTCAGAACAAAAGATATAGAGATATTAGGGATTTTTAATAAACATTAACCAGTTACCTTCTGCAGCATATTAAATTCTCCAAAGACAATCACAATACATCTCTCATCCTACACATGCTTCTGCAATGCAATGTGGACTTGTTCCTCCCCTGTCAAAACATGCTCTTCTCCACCTGCTTTGGTAGGTCTTGTGACTGCTTTCAGCAATGCAATATGGTGGAAGCAATGCTGTGCCCACGGATGTAGCTTTTAATTGGTCTGTCAGCTTCCGCTTCCCACCCCTTGGAAAATGTGCCTTAAAAAGACACACTGTCTTAAAACTAGCCACTTTGCAGGAAAAAGGCAAGTTACATGCAGAGGCTATGTGTAGATGTCTCACTTGAGCCCAACCTGAGCTCCAAGCCCACAGCCACTGCCAACTGCCAGGTATAGCCACGTATGTGACCCATCTGGGATGTGCGAGCCCAGATGAGCCACCAGATGACTCCAGTCCCAGCCAACAACATGCATAGCAGAAGAACCACCCAGCTAAGCCCAACAGACCCACAGAATCATAAGAAGGAACACAATGGTTGTTGAATATTGTTTTAGGCCACTGAGTTTGGGGTTCGTTTGTTACATAGCAATCAATAACTCAACACTCTCCAAAAACACTGCTCCAATTTATATTCTCATCAGCAGTGTATAAAAATGTTTCTTTCCCCAAATCCATGCCCACTCTTGGTATGTTTTTTTCATCTTTGCAATGTGACAGGTGAACACTGCTTCTTAACATTGGTTCGGGCTGGGCGTGGTGGCTCACGCCTGTAATCCCAGCACTTTGGGAGGCTGAGGCAGGCAGATCACTAGGTCAGGAGTTCAAGACCAGCCTAGCCAATATGGTGAAATCCTGTCTTTACTAAAAATACAAAAATTAGCCAGGCATGGTGGTGCACGCCTATAGTCCCAACCACTCAAGAGGCTGAGGCAGAAGAATCACTTGAACTAGGGAGGCGGAGGTTGCAGTGAGCTGAGATCGCGCCACTGCACTCTAGCCTGATGACAGAGCGAGACTCCGTATCAAACAAAAAAAAAAAAAACGAATATAAGGCTAGACAAAATAGCTTCTGCCTGGTTTTGGTGGCACTCCCCCTTATTAGAGTGTGAAGATGCATACCCAGAAAGAAGTCAGTATCATGACAGTATTTTGTTAATTTCTTTTTCTTTTTCTTTTTTTTTAGACAGAATTTAGCTCTTTTTGCCCAGGCTGGAGTGCAGTGGCATGATCTCGGCTCACTGCAACCTCCACCTTCCTGGTTCAAGCAATTCTCCTGCCTCAGCCTCCTGAGTAGCTGGGATTACAGGTGCACACCACCATGCCCAGCTAATTTTTGTATGTTTAGTGGAGATGGGGTTTTGCCATATTGGCCAGGCTGGTCTCGAACTCCTGATCTCAGGTGATCCGCCTGCCTTGGCCTCCCAAAGTGTTGGGATTACAGGTGTGAGCCACCGCACCCGGCCTATGTTGTTAATTTCTAAATAAATGACACAGATAATATGCTCCTTGTCTGTGCCAGGAAGGAGCAGATTTAGTGGCAGGTTAAGAGCAGGGAAAAGCGGCACATAGATGGACGCTCAGCTTCTCACTTGCAGGAGGAGCAGAGTAAACTCGCTTACCAGCACAGATAAAATGGAGGGAAAGATGCTGACTGGGCCACAGCCATTGCCAGCCTACGTGTAGAAGAGAGAGAGAAAGTCATGGCGGACCACAGTTCTTCCTTCTTGGCCCTGTGTTGTCTCTTTTCCGACTCCACTTCTGAGACCAAATGTGTGGGCTTTTCCATAGCATGATTGATGCTTCAGCGCCAGCGGGGCAGCTGCATTTCCTTTGCTTCTGGAACCAACTTCCGGGAGTTAGCAGAGACCCCACAGGGTGAGGGCCCCATTAGACAGCTCCCGCCTCACACTACCACTGCAAATGAGTGGCCTGGGCTCAGATGCTCCTTTCCGGTGAATACAGATCTGGGTGTTCCCATGACCTGCCCCTTCAGCCTTGATAATTCACTCACAGAACTCAAGAAAACGCTTTACTTGCATTTACCAGTTTGTTGTAAAGGGTGCAAGGAGGAACCGCTAAATAAAAGAGACGCACAAGGCGAGTGATGAGGGGGGCTGGCATGGAGCTTCCTGACCCTCTCTGGGTGCACCACACTCCCAGCACCTCTGTGTTCACCACCCCAGAAGCAAACCCCATTGTTCAGGGGTTTGGGGAGGTCTCATTATATGGGTACAATTGATTAAATCCTTGGCTGTTGGTGATTAAAAATCTCCAGCTCCTCTCTGTTCCTTGAAGGTCGGGATTGGAGCTGAAAATTCCACCTTTCTAATCACATGGTTGTTTCCTCTGGCAACTAACCCCCAATAGGAGTCACCGCCATAGCATAAACTCAGGTGTGATGAAAGAGGCTCATTATAAATAACTAAAAACACTCCCATCACTCAGGAAATTCCAAGCTCTGTGCCAGGAACTGGGGAAAAATACCAAATATATATCCCTTCTTATACCACAGTTGCGTATAAACAACATCTACCTAAGCCACTGGCTTCTAAATCTGTCTGGCCATGACTCTTAAATACATTTTATATCCCAGCCAAGTACACAGTCACCACCCACACATATCTCTGTAGGTACGTGTATAAAACTGAAACCAGATTTCATGTAAGTTCTAGGAAATCATACTCACCCTTACCATATGCAATAGACCAATATTTTCAATTCAGTTCATTCATTCCTATTCCATTCTGTTTCTTCGTCTTCCTTTGCATTTTAAATGCTGGCTTCAGCCCACAAAACTGATTTCTCAACCCACTAATGCATCCCAAGCCACAGTTCAGAAAACACTGTGTTCTCCATGCCAAGACTCATTATAGCTCCTCTCTGAGACTTTACAAAGCAAAGAGAGACAGGAAGACACCCTCTGTAGAGGCAAGTAGCTTCCTGGACCAGCAGGAAGAGATGTGAGCATGAGATGTAAAGAGAACAGAGCTCAGTGAGCACCAAACCGTACAGAACCAGAGCAGGTGATGGCAAAGGCAAGACTCCATCCCTTTCAAACAGGTTTCTCCTCGCCAAACCGCTGAAGGCATGTTTTCCAGGTAGCCTCTTGTTTCAAATGGTGCCCAGCGACTGTCTTGGCCCCACACCTGTTCTCAAGTTTGTTCTTGAGTCTCTGTGGAACCCTCGGCCAGTTGCACTTCTGCCCAGGGCTCTGGGCTAGTCCTGAAAAGTCCAGCTTCACAGAGTCCTAGTGGCTTCACCTCCTGACACTCCAGAGCCAACGAGTTGACCCTTACAGAGATCTCTGTCCAAACGAGGGAGTTAGTCAGAAAAGAGAGTTCTGTCTCAGCAGTGGAAAAGGGATTCGTATGGCTTCATTCTGACTCAAAGCAGCAATCCTGTTCCAGAAAGGCTGGCAGAGGGCTTTGTTCTTAGAGATGTACCCAGCCCATGAGTCTGGACACAGATGTTCTTTGTTATTCTATGAAACCATACGGCTTTTTACGCGTTCTTTTTCTTCCCTGGGTTAAATTGCAATGGCATCGTCTCACTTCTTTTAATGGGCCATGCCTAACATCTGTGTGATGAAAATGCTTATTTGTGGGCTTGTGGAGCTTGAATAGCATCCAGGCTGCCGGGGACTTGCTGCCCCATGTAGGAGGGAGAGAGGCAGGGCACTGCTGGAGTGCAAATCAGGTCAATTCATGGAGCACAGGAAATTAGCGATGCAATGGGTGTTTAGAGGAAGAGAATTCTGACTTAACTCTCCTGGAATATGGTTTGACCTGGACTCCTTTGCCTCCTCTAGAACTTGCATATAATTTTTAGATGATGTTTATAGGGTTTTGTTTTTCATATTATAAGTCCAACACATGCTTAGAAAAGAAACAAATCACTCATAATCCTAATACTCAGAATAAACCACTATTATTTTGATATTTTTTCCTCCCATTTTTGTCCCAGATATGTTTGTGTATGTAAACTTGATATATATTTTTGTCATTAAACTTTATATAAGTTTATATGCAATTTTGAAAATCTGTCTTTTAAATTTACCATTATGTTAATACATTGAAGGGCAAACATCTCTTTTATAACATCTCTCCCATCCTATCACTCTATGCACCTTTACTGCTTCTAAATGCCTAAATGCCACCTCTCCATGTAAAGACAGCTTTGCTTCTGTCTCTCCACCATGAGACAGCCTTCAAACAGGAAGAAATCAGGACACTAAGGTTCTCTGAAGCCATGCTCTAGACCCACCAGAGGCTAACGGGAGAGAATGACATGGCATTCAAACTGAGCCTTTGTGTGACCTTGAAGAGTGTTCAGCGCAGCGGTAAGTGGGGCTGCTTCAGGGTTTCACCTGGGCCAGATAATGGGCATGAGATCAGTTCCTTCTGTGTTTCTAGGAACTGAGGGCCTGGAACTGCCTTGAAAGCCAGTGCAAAGCAATCTCCTCCTGCAGAAAGGGCGGTCTTGTGATCGGAGCCACGGGATAGGGACATCTCTCTCTCCTGTTACCAGAAGGACCCGGCTGTAGAGCCCACACTAGAAAAGGCCGTTTGCAGAAAGAAAAAGGAACAGACATTCAGAACGGGCCACAGTCTGCACACAGGAACCTGCCTGATGGGAAACATGGGGACTGGATGAGGATGCAGCAAGCCTACTGAGGATTCCTTCCCAGAATGGCATCCGCCAAGAGCCTGTGTTTTCTGCTAATGCTGACGTCGGGCGCAGTGTCTTCCTGCCTCTTAAGTCTCCTCCACAACTGCATCCCCTGGGCCCCACCAGCCCCAGTCTACACCCTTCTGACTCAATAAATGCTAATATTTAACCAGGAGATAAGGGCCTTGGTCTGCTTGACACGTTAGTTTTGTTTTTTAAGACAGATATCTTTCAAGAAAGCATATTTCTGACTGTATCAACCATCTAACACCACTGATAATATCTGATGCTGTAGGCTACGAAGTGACAGAGTTAAATACTTTGATCTTCCAATCCCCCTTCCGTCTTTGCACAATCATTTCCTTCTTTGTGCTAAATATTAACTGGGTCAGATGGATCATTCTGATCTGTGTCACTCAGTAGAGATTCAAGTCCCGCCTTCAGATGGAAAGTCCAAAGAAGCCAAGATGAATCTCAAGTTCAATTATAAATAACCAGCAAAAAAGGGAAAGGAAATGAGATCAAACTTAAGTCATTTTCTTCAGGACAATTTTCTCTTCTTTCTTTTTCATTGTGTACAATTTCACATCATGAGAACTTCTGTTGCAAATCAGATCCAGTTCTGCCTTTGAAAGAGGCATCAAAATACAGCTCATGGGAAGAAGCGGCGTCTCACCTATGAGGATGAACTTGAGGACCAGCTGGTGGCTGAGGAGGGAGGGTTGCTTGAGTACAGGAGTCCAAGATCAGCCTGGGCAACGTGGCTGAGAATTTAGTGCATTGTTCTTCTTCTTTTTAATAGGTAGTCTCCCTCTGTCACCCAGACTGGAGTGCAGTGGCGCCATCATAACTCACTGCAGCCTTGAACTCCTAGGCTCAAGCGATGCTCCCACCTCAGCCTCCTGTGCCGCTCCCCACCCCAAGATGCCTAAACTTCGGTGGGCATGAGTCACAGGGGGAGCTCCCCAAAATCTACAATTCTGCCAGGTTCCCACCCTTAGATGCTCAGTCCAGAAGAACTTCAGGTGATCCTATTGAAAATGAGTGGGGCCCAGTCTTTGAGAAACACTTTGGCAAATCAGAGCAGAAAACCACTGCCTTTAGCAGCCCATTAGCCTCAGTGAGGACAAAAAGGGGGTTGAGATGTGGAGACATATAGGGAGTAATACAGACCTCTCATTTAAGAAGTTTGTGGGCCAGCCACGGTGGCTCATGCCTGTAATCCCAGCACTTTGGGAGGACGAGATGGGAGAATCATGAGGTCAGGAGTTCGAGACCAGACTGGCCAACATGGTGAAACCCCGTCTCCCTCTGTTGCCCAGGCTGGAGCGCAGTGGTGCAATCATAGCTCACTGCAGCCTTGAATTCCTGGGCCCAAGCTATGCTCCCACCTGAGTGGATCCCACCCCAAGATGCTCAGTCCAGAAAACTACAGGCATGCACCACCATGCCCAGCTAATTAAAAAAAAAATTTTTTTTTTAGAGATAGGATCTTGCTATGTTGCCCAGACTGATTGCCAACTCCTGGACTCAAGCAATCCTCTCAACCTCAGCCTCCCAAAGCACTGAGATTGCAGGTGTGAGCCTCCATACCTAGCCCTAGTGCATTGTTCTTGATGTTTATTTTGTATTATATATAATATGTGTGTGCATATATATATATATATAATTTCATAAATGTATATTTTTCTTCCAGAAAATTCGGGCAATAGGGATAAGCAGAAAGGGGGAAAAAGGCACTGGTAGTCCTCCCACTCAAAGACTTAGCTCCAAGAGTGCCTGACAGCTCCTGCTTCCCAGCAGTCACACCCTTGTGTTGTGACCCACATGGGGTCAGGGATGGCTGATGGTATATGATGAAAGTGACCAAAGGTGACTTCTGAGGCTAGATCATGAATGACACTGCAGCTTCCACCTATAACCAGGGTTTTCAACAGCAGTGCTGTTAACACTGAACACTTTGGACCAGATAGTTATTTATCGTGGGGGCTGTTCTGCACATTGTAAGACGTTTAGCCGCATACCTGGCCTACCCATCAGATGTCAGTAGCACCCTTTGCTCAATAGTAAACATAAAATTATGTCTCCAGGCTTTGCCAAATGTCCTCAGGATGAGGGAGTGTAAGAGTCCATTCTCACACTACTATAAAGAAATACCTGGGACTGGGTAATTTATAAGAAAAGAGGTTCACTTGGCCCATAGTTCTGCAGGCACAGGAACAGGGAGCGTGGCAGCATCTGCTTCTGGGGGCCTCAGGGAGCTGTTACTCATGGCGGACAGCAAAGCGGAAGCAGGCACCAAACATGGCAAAAGCAGGAGCGAGACAGCCGAAGACGCCACACACTTTTAAGCCAGATCTCATGAGAACTCACTATCATGAGCAGGGCCCCAAAGGATGGTGCTAAACCAGTCACGAGAAATTCACCAGGATGACAATTTGTCATGAGATTTGGACGTGCACACAGATCCAAACCATATTAGGGGGCAAAACTGTTCTCAGCTGAGAACCACAGACCTAGACTCTTGGCTTGCTAGCTCGGGGGAAAACAGCCAGCATGCCATGTGGCACAAGCAGCACGGTGAAGAAGAGCACATGGAGAGGAGCTGAGGTCTCCAGACAGCGGCTGGCACCCGCCGGCCGTCATCGTGAGGGTGTGGCCTGCAGAGTGGACCCTTTTGCCTCGCCAAGCCTCCAGGTAACCGCCAGCTTCATGAGACACCCCAAGACACTCCCACATTCCTTGCCTGCGAAAACGTGAGGGATCATAAATAATGATTATGCTTTAGAAGCCACCAAGTTCGTGGGTAATTTGCTTAATTGACTTCTTTGTTGAGTAATTACTCTTGTTTGAATACTGAGTCCAAATTCCTTTTCCTTCTTTGGAAACATTTCTCTAGGGTCTAGGTCAAAGAGTGAAAAATGGGATCAGCTGGATTGTGTGCTTATTACATAAAATCATCCTGTGGAATTAAATTATTTGTAACATTTCAATTAGTGGATGGAGAATACGTTGCAAACACCAGCCGCTGAGGTGTATGGTGGAACAAGAGATGCCGGCCCTAGAGTGAGCCTCAACCACAGCGTTCTAAGTTTTGTGAACTGCGCTTCTGTCTCCAAAGCAACAAGATCATCATTTTTAGGAACCAACTCCTCTTTGCCTGGCCAGGTCCATAGATGAATTAATAATACATTTTAGAGGGTCTCAGCTCCTTGTTCAGCCACATGTAATGAGTAAACTGAGGAACAGTAGACTCAAGTGAATTATGCGAATTCGGATTGATTATACATGGGTCTGACCTTACCATTCACAAAACCAGATCTTGATGGTTGTTTCCCAACCAGGCTGAATGTGCTGCTCCTGCAGTGAGTCGTGTATTGAGATGGGAAGTCAACTTTGTCAATCCCTAGAGCAATTGGTTGGAGCCTGCTGCTGTGTCTGCTCCCACTGCTGTGGATTAAACTGTGGGGCCAGTTGGCCCTGACATTTTGGAAAGATAGCTTGGGGTCTTTGTTGTTGTGTTTAAAAAATATATATATCATTTGACGATGAAGTAAATTCCCTGCAACTCCCTTTATGGGCAACAATGAACAGAAAGGGGTTTTCAGCTTCGGTTTTTAATATTGTCAACAAAAAATTGTTATTTTATTCCTCACTGTTGTCAACAAATATGAAGATTATTCCATTAGCAAACTGTCTGCTGATTTTAGAATTACTGAAATCCGATTATCCAGTTCTACAGATAGAAATGTTATCCCAATGATTATCCTGAGAATTTATTATGGGAGAGAAAACCAGAAACTAGGGAGCAAAGAACTATAGATTCTAATTTCCTTTGTTTGGTTTTAAAGTTCTACCAGCCAACAGATTTCCTCAAGTATTTATTTGAGGAAAAGGACAGAGAGGAAGGAAAGGGGAATTTTTTAAAAAGTACTTTGGAATATCCTGGTATGAGCAGGGCACACTGCCAGATTCTTAGCTTATATTTTCTCATTTAGCCTTCACTAAGGAGGCAGTGGTCATTCTTCCCAGTTTCAGATGAGGAAACTGAGGCATTCATAGCTTCAGGAACCGTCCAGATTTCTTAATGATTGAAGCAGGATTTGCCTCTAGGTCTGCCTTATTCCTAACTGAGATGTTAAACCAAGCGGATGATGTTCCTTTCTGTATTATTTGAGCTCTTGACCGCAAACAACTGAAAACAACTCGGGCAAAGATAAGCAGAAAGGAATTGACTGGAAAGAAGAGGGGTGGATGAGGAGTATTCAAGGATGTAAGTGTGGTTCATGGAATCAATAGAAGACTGAAGAACCAAGCTTGGGAACCAGCAGAGACGAGGGAGCTGTGAAACCCAATGACACAGCAACGACCTCCCCCAGGACTGTCTGTGCTTCTGAGAGTAACCTTGGCCCTTGCTCCCAGCCCTTGCCCAAAAGTCAGAGTGCAGATGGGCAAAATGAAGGGCCAGGCTCCGGGCTTATGCCCACTCCTGTGGATATATCCCTCCAGGAAGGAGGATGGCCCGACCCCTTCTGCTTCTATCTTGGGAGATAGGCCTCTGAATTCACCCTCCCACCAAGACCTCTTATATATAGTAGGGGAAAAGTGGAGTCACTGTACCAGGTGGTAAAACACAGCAAATGTCCATCAAGCTCTTGAAATCTAAATGTCTTCTTTATGAAAAAACTGCAGAGGTGCAATGTAAGCTTGACAAGTCTACCTGGGATTAGATGTGTGTTCCTGCCTAGAAGGGACTGTGTCTGTCTTGGTATCCCCCAGATTTTGGTTCAGGGTGAATGTCCCAATACAAATTCTCTGAATCAAGAAATGAATTTTGCCCACTGTGTCTCTAACTACTTCATTCACTGACAGTCCACTTACAGTTCTGGGCAAATCAGACATACTTAGCTCTCTTTACAGAGTTAAAATAATATAAACAGGGAGGAAGAAAACTCCCTAGTGTTCTCAGGCAGGGTTATGACCAAATGCATTTAGTGCATAAGCAAGAAAGCTCCAGATCACCCTATGGGTCACACTTTCCTTCAGAAATTTTGCAAATTATGTTTCTGTTTGTTTGTTTGTTTGCTTAAGGATAATGTATCATCAAGATTAAATAATTTTTTTTTTTGAGATGAAGTCTCACTCTGTTGCCCAGGCTGGAGTGCAGTGGTGTGATCTTGGCTCACTGCAACCTCTGCCTCCCGGGTTCAAGCGATTCTCCTGCCCCAGCCTCCCGAGTAGCTGGGACTACAGGCGTGTGCCACCACGCCCAGCTAATTTTTTGTATTTGTAGTAGAGACAAGGTTTCACCATGTTAGCCAGGAGGGTCTCAATCTCCTGACCTTGTGATTCGCCTGCCTCGGCCTCCCAATGTGCTGGGATTACAGGTGTGAGCCATTGTGTCTGGCCAAGATTAAATAATTTTTAAAACAATACATTCCTCACCATTTTTCATATTACCTTCAACTTTTTCCAGTACTTCAATATTTAGCATAGTTATAAGCAGAGAATACCTACTTCTTATGTATTTTTTCATAAAAGTGTATAAAGTCTTGTGTTCCAAAATAGATTTCATAATTATAACTTTAATGATGGCATAATATTCCATGATCTTGATGTACCATCATTTACTAAACCATTTCCTTACTGTTGGACATCTGTTCTGTATGAATCAGGCTTTTAATAAGATATGACTTGAGAGAAGATCTAGAATATTGTCAACAGATGGCTTATGAAAGTGCCTTTGATATTATAGTACATCTATTTATGATTCTGTAGTAAATAAAATGTTAACTAGGACTGCTCCCAAATTGGGCAGTGATGTGGGTGGTGCACATACACACAGAATTTAAGGCACCTAGGGTGAGATATGAAATTCAACAGGATGAAATTCAAAATGTAAGTGAGAGAAAAAAGGCCGAATAGAGCCAGATACGCAGATAAAGATATTTTACTCAGTATCGTGTTAGAAATGCCGTGCTTCAGGAATTTAAGACTGCTGGATCCATCGTTCTATTTAGCTTTGAAATCTTGGTGTTTGAATGTGCTGTCCACATTTTATATCCTTTATACTGCTAGTCTTTCTCAGTTTCTCCCTAAGATTATTTTAAGTTCATATTCTGAAATTATAGGGATGAAAGGCAGGAAGGGAAAGTAGTGTGATAAGGGATTTTCCCCAGTTAGTTACAGAAAAAAAGAAATAGGGAATCGCAGGAGCAGATTTTGACTTATGGGATGGTGAAGGTACATGAAGCAGCTTGAAAAGGAATAGGAAAAAGGAAAGAACGATTTCTGTAGGCTGTGTTATTAGAAAGGAATAAAAGAGCTACATCTGCTACTTACACTTCATGCCAGACACATTCTCTGAGGCGTTGGGACTACATCTTGGCTCTTCAGGGCTAAAGTCTTCTTTTCCTAAGAACCAGATCTGCACCCCCGCCCACTGTTTCCAGTAAAGCAATGGGGCAAATCCCATCTCCCTGGAACGTTCTGTTCCAGCAGCTGGAGTGACGAACTGCGGAATATCATTCACACGGAGTTGGCTCTGATAAGAACAAATGTTTCTTGGTTTATGGTCCCTCTCTTTGCTGATGATCCTGCTTGACTTTGCGTCCACTCTGAAAATTTGCCCAAGCTTTTATACGACGAGAAGGTACTATCTGCTAGAAAACATGTTTTGTAGAGCACTTTATTCTGAAACAGCCAGTGGCAGTTCATGCAACCATACAAAACCCAAGTCCCGGCTCCACGCAGGGCCATGCTGGGTCCTCATCCTAGGTCCTTTTAAATGTCTCTTGGAGAACATTTCTCTAATAGGAAATGCATACTTATTTCTCAGGGCTTTATCTGCACTGTTTAAATGACAGTTCTCTTCAACCACTACATTAAGAAAGTGATCAAATTCTATCATGCAAATGAATATACTTAATTATGTGGAAGTATATTTTAGTTACATATCAGTAATTACTCTAATAACAAATCAATAAGCTAGTAGATTTCCAAATAGGTTTTAAGATTTCTAAGGGGCAGACTGAAGGTGATTAAGTTCTCTTTACTAACATATATATACATCATGATATTATAATAGTGGTAAGTGTAAAATTGACCTAATTTCTGTGATTCATTTATTACTCAACAGATATTTGGGTATTTTTACTGAAATATATTTTGGTATTTGTTATGCCAGGCACTGTTCCAGGCAGGGAGATCTAGCAGGATGTAAAGGGCGGGGCCCTGCTCTCATGGAGCTCACGGTCTCGTGCAGGAAGATGGCTAATAAGTAAATGAGACATGATCAAGGTAATTATATATGTTTGCATTAAAACATCTTTTAATAGAGATTTAACATTATTTCATCTGGTCGTCTCAAAAACCCTGGAAGGTAGATTAAGAAGAGGTTACCAATGTATAGAAAAGTTGTAAGAACAGTACAAAAAGCTCTCTTTCCCCTTCACCTAGACTTCCCAATTGTTAATATTGTTTTCAACTGTGTAGTTAGTTGTTCATAATTGTTAATAACACTACATTGCTTCATCACCCTCTCTCTACATATACATATATATCAAATATATGTGTGTCAGTGTATGTATATATGTGTGTGTGTGTGTGTGTGTGTATAGTCAGGATATGTCACCTATCTCAAGCAATAGGTTGTGTATATATATATGTATATATATATATATATATATATATATATATATATATATATATATATATATACACACTGACATATATTGGCTATATATATCCTGACATTGTGCCTGGCTGGGTTATAAACAACAGAAATGTGTTTCTCACAGTTCTGGAGGCTGGAAGTCCAAGATCAAGGTGTCAGCAGGTTCGGTGTCTTGTGAGGGCTTGCCTTCTTCTTCATAGACAGCACCTTCTCCCTGTGTCCTTATGTGGAGGAAGGGGCAAATGAGCTCCTTCAGGCCTCTTGTGTAAGGGCACTAATCCCATGCATGAGGGCTCCACTCACCTCCCAAAGGCCCCACCTCCTAATACCATCACCTTGGTGATTAGGTTTCAACAGATGACTTTTTGGGAGACACAACCTTTAGACCATAGCAGTGCCCTCATCCCTAAATATCCCACTGTGTACCTCCTAAAAACAAGGGCACTCTTTGTCACCCCAAAACAAGACTTTCCAAGTCAGGAAATGAACACGGATACAGCACAGCCATCCAATCCACAGACCTGGTGCAAATTCCATCAAGGGCCCACCAGCCTTTTCTGTGCAGGCTCTGAGACAGCACAGCTTGCACTGAGCTTCTGGTCGCCTCAGTCTGTTCCCATATGGAACAGCCGCAAGTCTTTTTCTGCCTCTGTGCCATTGGTACAGGAGCACAGGTCCTTCATCCCTGGGCTGAGACCCCTCTGGCACTCAAGGCTGTAATGTCACCGAGGAGATGCTGTGTCCTTCTTAGTGCATCAAACCAGGAGGCGCATGGTGCCACCTGTCCTACCTGAGATGGTCTCACCTTGATCATGCAGTCCAGCTGTGTCTGCTGCTTCCCCCTTGCACTTGATAGTGGTTTGTAGGAAGGTAGTTCAATGTTTTGCCAACATCCTGTTTCTCATCAAACCTCCACCCACCAGGGACACCCACATGGATCAACAACTACTGTTACTGTTGCCTAAGAGTGATTATCTTTCCATCGTTCCCTCTACATTTACTAGTTGGCATTCTACTGTAAGGAAAAGCTTTTCCTACTCCTCATTTGTTTATTTATTGAATTACTTATGTTTTTATGAGTATGGATTCGTGGATTCCTATCTCATACAATGTATTGTAATCCAATTATTTATTTTGATGCCGAAATCATTCTAAAATCGGCCTGTGAGAGCCCCCTGGAGCCCCCAGTTAAAGGGCCTAGTTAGGGCAGGCTCATCCTGGGAATTCTCCCTTTTGATTGACTCCAAGTAAACTGATTAGGGACTTTAATTATACCTGCAAAATCCCTTTATCCTTCCCTTATAACTAACGTAATTACAGGAGTGAAATGCCTGCCTCTTTTTGATATATCCCCATTATTCTTATTATTCTTGGGTGCTTCTTTGCTATCTGGCACAAAAATACGTTCCCAGATTCTCTTGGACTTTCCTCACCCCTGTGCTGGAATCGGCCATTTCTCCAACCAAGGCCTGAGTGCTGGCTGCGCTTGTGCCTGCCAGGCTGTCATTGCTTCTAGGCCCTTCCAGCTGACAGAGATAGCAGGTATGTGCATGTATATATGTGCACACACAGATATAAACATACATAAATATACATACATGCACATACATCTATAACAATTATCTAACTCTGGGTATATGTAAGATACAGATATGCATCTCATGAATTTATAACTCTAGGTCTAATTTCATTTCGATACCTCAAGGTTTTCTCCAGTCTCCTCCATTCCTCAGCCTTATGTGACAAAGAGGGTGAAGAGTCCTGGGGAAGCGGGAGGCGCCTGTCTAGAGGGGTTGGTTAGGGAGGGCCCCCCTGAGGAGCTGAGTCTCAGTGAGGAGATACAGTGCTGAGGAGACACAGTGCAGAGGATTCCAGGCAGAGGAGCAGCAAGCACAAAGCATCGGGAGCCACAGCAGGGTCAGGGTGGCCGTTGTTTGCTGAGCAGGCCGAGAGTCTGCTGGTTATGCCTGGCGAGGTGAGAAGGCACTGGGGGATTTCAAGGAAGGGTGTGACATGATGTGCTTTGTATTTTAAGCCATCACCCCGGCTACCATGCCGAGAATCGATTGTGGAAGGACAGGGATGAAGGGGAGCACAGTGCACGCTTGCCCTTGTAAGCCATGGACTCACTCACCCCACATCCAGCTCCCGAAACTGGTGTGGCTGGTCATGTCGACAGCGCTTACCCACTCGCTTACTTCTGCTCCGGGCGGGGCCTGTTAGGTGATGTGAAGGATGTGGCTTCACAGGGACACGAAGTCCACCCTCCCTCTCCTAGCCTCTGTGTCAGTCCTTGCGTGATTAGTAACAAACAACTGTGAGCACCTCAGAGATGTTCGACGCTTGAAAAGTTGGGTTCTGGGGGAGATCCCTGGGATGGAGGTGACGGTCCCGCCTCTGATCAGAGGACCGCGGCTCCCTGGATGGATCTCATCCCCACACCCGGCACTCCAGTTTGATCCTGGCATTTTATAGGTGCAGAAACTGAGAAGCCACGCGACTGCCCGTGGTGGCAGATATTGACCATATCCACTTGGTACTGCTTTCTAGCATACAGTTCAGTGTTTCACAGCTCCAGGCACACACAACTCAGCCATCTCCCTCCTCCCTGGCATGCATTTTTTTTTTTTTTTTTTTTTTGAGACGGAGTCTCGCTCTGTCCCCCAGGCTGGAGTGCAGTGGCACCATCTCCACTCACTGCAGGCTCCGCCTCCCGAGTTCATGCCATTCTCCTGCCTCAGCCTTCCCAGTAGCTGGGACTACAGGCGCCCGACACCACGCCTGGCTAATTTTTTGTATTTTTAGTGGAGATGGGGTTTCACCGTGTTAGCCAGGCTGGTCTTGATCTCCTGATCTGGTGATCCGCCCGCCAGGGCCTCCCAAAGTGCTGGGATTACAGGCGTGAGCCACCGCGCCCGGCCAGCACGCATCTTTATGGACACAAAAAATGAAAATTGCATGCCTGGCCGTGTGAGGAGAAGAGGTCTCTCCCTTTGGATCCACCCTTGGAAGTTTGTGTGCTGCACTGAAGTGTGCTTTTTAACCCATGTCTTTGTCCCCTACGAGAGGAGAATGTGTTTTGTAGGACGCAGCTCTGATTTCCCCGGGGCTCTTCCACTGGCTCACCTCAGTTTGATATTAATTTAGTCAAATACAACAAGGTCACCTGCACCTTGTCCCCCACACAGTGCTTTCCCTCCGTGGATGGATACCTTTGGCCTCTTTCCCCTGTGCAGAGCAGCTGCCAAGGCGCACTGGCTACATGGACGATACCTGCCTATACTGCAGCAGATGCTACACACACACACCTCCGTGACTACCAGGGCTACAGTCATCTTCTACTGCTGTCTAACAAACGACCACAAACTTAGCCACTTCCAGCAATCCGGACTTCCTAACTCACAGTTCCCACGGGCCAGGGATCCAAGCACACATCAGTGGGGTCTCCCGCAGGGTCTCACCAGGCTCAAATCGTCATGCTGCCCAGGGCTGCAGTCCTCTCTGAGGCACAGACTCCCCTTCCAAGCTCACTGGCTGTTGGTAGAATTCAGGTCCTTGTGGTTGGAGGATGCAGGATCTGAGCTCCTGGGGCAACCTGCTGCTCCCTGCCCGGTGGTCCTCTCCATAACATGCAAATCTTTGGGGACAAGGGAGGGGGTTTCTGCTGCTTCAAATCTCTCCTCAGGAAGCCCCCAGGTAAGGGGCCTAGTTAGGGCAGGCTCACCCTGGGAAATCTCCCTTTTGCTTAACTCCAAGTTAACTGATTAGGGACCTTCATTATACCTGCAAAATCCCTTTATCTTTCCCTAATAAGTAACCTAATCACAGGAGTGAAATACCGTCAAGTCCTGTCCACACTCAAGGGGAGATTCTCGAGAACATGCTCCAGGAGAAGGACTCGCAGGGTCATCTTAGAGTTTGCCTAATTGAGTTACAGATTCCCACTACCTTACTTTTTAAGTTTTTAAAACATCATGTTAAAATACACAGGACATAAAATTTGCCACCTTTAACCATTTGGAAGTGGACGGTTCAGTGGCACTGAGTACATTCACGGTGTCGTGCAGCCACCACCACCATTTCTCTCCAGGACTTTTTCATCTTTCCAGATGGAAACTCTGTACCCGTTAAACACCAACTCCCATTCCCTCACCCCTGGTGAACCCCCAGCCCCAGTTTCTTGTGCACTTGTTTTCTCCAACACACATGGTGGCAGGAGAAGACTGAGATAAAACTACAGATTCTCCTGCCTCACTTCTCACACTTGCAATTTTATCAACCGAGTTTCTTGAGCAACTCAAAATAAATATGCATCTGGGCTTGTTCTTCAAAAGACTTGTGTAGCCAATCCCTACTAGGCTGGGACTGTGAGCTCTGGCTGGCCCCTGTGCTGGGCTCAATAGAGAGGAAAAGTCAGATGTTGCAAACAGGTCACACTGCTTTGCCGAGACCAGCTCGGTCAGGGAGACCCTAATCCAGCGGCGCTAGAGGAATTAAAGACACACACACAGAAATACAGCACGTGAAGTGGGAAATCAGGGGTCTCACAGCCTTCAGAGCTGAGAGCCTTGAACAGAGATTTACCCACGTGTTTATTGACAGCAAGCCAGTGATAAACATTGTTTGTATAGATTATAGATTAACTAAAAGTATTCCTTATGGGAAACAAGGGATGGGCCGAAATAAAGGGATGGGTTCTGGCTAGTAATCTGCAGCAGGAGCATGTCCTTAAGGCACAGATCACTCATGCTATTGTTTGTGGTTTAAAAACGCCTTTAAGCGGTTTTCTGCCCTGGATGGGCCAGGTGTTCCTTGCCCCCATTCCGGTAAACCCACAACCTTCCAGCATGTGCGTCATGGCCATCACGAGCATATCACAGTGCTGCAGAGATTTTGTTTATGGCCAATTTCGGGGCCAGTTTATGGCCAGATTTTGCGGGGGGGCCTGTTCCCAACACTGCTTGATCCCATACTCTCTCCAACCTCACACATAGCATGCACTGAAAGCAAACTCACAAAGTCAGCAGCATGGTACATTTCCTTTAATTTAGGAAAGGAACTGAGTCCAGACTAAATGAGGAACCTCATGCCTCTCTGGTGTCTCAATTTCCCACCTAACTATTGGGATCTGCAAAGTCAACATTTTTAAAGAATCACATGCTCCTTGTATAGACGGAAGGAACACACCAGAAGAACCTGGACAGGTTTTAATCCTTTGAGAATTAAAGTCCCAAACTGCACCAAAAAAGATAATTCTGCAGTCTTTCTGGAAGCTTCTCTCCTCATAAATCTGTTGCCATTTAACAGGGTGATGAACATGACATTGATTCTAGGGTTTCCAATAGACACAGTGGGTCATAGGTACAATTTTGCTCCTTTCACTCCGGGAGTCTTAGGCACAGCTGTGTCCAAAAGGATTTGCTGCCCTTTATTTGGGTTTGCAAGGATGTTGTATTTCTCTGCATTGCAGATTTCCACAGCTTTGTGAGCAAGCCATAATTATTTCCAGACAAGATGCTGGCTCAGATGACTGCCTCATCCCTAATGTGGCTTCTCAGTTTCGCAAGAGGAAAACCCAGAACTTTCCTCCCTGTGCCTTCTGTGCCTCCTGGTAACGTGGCAAAGAGAAATCACAACTAGGAAAGAAGTCGTCATTTTAGGCGATGATAAAGCATTCCCAGAATAAAATAACTTGTTCAAATTCCAAACCCACATGTATAGAAACTATAATTTTTGTTTTGTTCTGTTGTTTTTTTGAGACAGAGTCTTGCTCTGTTGCCCAGGCTGGAGTGCAATGGTGTGATCTCGGCTCACTGCAACCTCCGCCTCCCGGCTTCAAGTGATTCTCCTGCCTCAGCCTCCCGAGTAGCTGGGATCACACACACATGCCACCACGCCTGGCTAATTTTTTATATCTTTAGCAGAGACAGGGTATCACCATGTTGGCCAGGCTGGTCTCAAACTCCTGACCTCATGATCCACCCGCCTCAGCTTCCCAAAGTGCTGGAATTACAGCTGTGAGGCACCACGCCCGGCCAAAACTATAATTTTCTGTGTGGATGGCAACTTTCTTCCACAAACAGAATAAGGGGTGATTGTGCCAATGGTTTCTGCTCTTGAAATATACCTGGGTCTGGAGGCAAGTCTGCAATGATAGAACATTCAGCAGCCCATCTGTGTGTGAAAAGCCTGCCATACGGCAAAGAACGAGCAAACTGGAGAACCACACCAACCCATTTCCATTCCCCAGCCCTCTGAAAACCCACAAAGAGAAGTTCAGTTGGGCAGCTAGAGCTTGCTGGGAACTAAGGAGTCCACTGAGTGACCATAAGCACTGAAGAGCTTGCATTTGCATTGGCTTTCCTTAAAGATTTGGTTTTAAGTAGCAAAACAAATACAAATTCAAGAGACATCTTGCTTAAAAAAAAAAAGGTGGAGGGGAAGGTGGTATTTATATTGCCACGTCAATTTTTTAATGCACTTTAAGATGAAAGAAATGTCCATTAAAACAGGGAATAATAACCAGTCCCTAAAGATCCATTTGCAGCTCTTTTCACTTCCTCCAGAGTGAAAGAAATTCCAGTTTCATGATGTCACTGCCTTAGCCAGATCTTTCTGAGGATGCAGCTGCTCAGATGCACACAGGTTCTGTTTGTGCAGTTTCCTCCTGTGTTTCCCAGAGGCGAATGAGGAGGACGGGCCATGGCAACATTCAACAAGCTGGCCTCACCCAGCACATACACACCTGCCATCTCTGCAGTTCTGACCTTGGCTAGCCTCACTCCACTGTCTAGCTTTAAGCCCCATCTTCATCTTTGAGCAGTGGCTGGAAGTTACAGCTGCAGCAAATGTGCAGAATATGAAAAGAATTTAGAATAGAATTAGACCAGAAACGATGTTGTTAAATCCAGCCATGTGCTACAGAGACCTGGCAAGGTTGCAGGCATGTCTAAGTGTACAGAAGCAGGTGACATATGACCGAATGTAGGGGCCAGGACTAGGAGCTGACCTTTGCAAGACAGTGACTTAGCAAGTACAAAATCAACAAAAATCATCCTGACCTCTCTACTTCTAACTCCTGCACCCAAGCTAACATCCCTGCTCATGATGCAACCTCGGCCAGCTGGTAAGGAGGCCCCAAAAATTCACTTGAAAATTCAACTCCAAATTTATTCGGAATCTTTTTTTTTTAGTGGGAAAATGACTTGTAATCCTGAAAAGAGACAGCATTAAGTGTAGAAATGATGAAGATGAATCAAATCTATTTCTGATATCTTGGGGTTAGGAGGTAATCTGTGGATATTTGGCCTTTTCCTTATTTGTTACATTTAAGAGGATTTTGTGTGCTGGAGTGTCAGTCAAACTTGTAATTCTAACTTAAACTGTGGAGCTAAAAAGTTGATGTAGACTATAATTTTATGTTGATATTTTAAGAGAATTTAAAATTTATTATATGTCTAGATTTTGTTATATTTACAGGAATTATTACTTAAGTACTTGGGAAGATTTTTCGTTGTTGTTAATCAGACAATTAAGGAAGTCAAATGATTACATTTACAAAGGCTGTTCAAAAAGCTTAATGCAATTAGTGTTTGTTGATGGGACCAAAGTTAATCAAAGGCTCCCTTTAAAAAGTATTAAATATTACTAGATTAATTTTAAAAAATAATATTTGCAGGTTGAACGGCATGTAGAAATGACATGAAGAACACTGCCAATGTGTTAATTAGACAACATTTACCAATTCTTATTATGAGAGTATTTCTTTCAAGGCACTTTACCAAATATCACATTTTCTTTCATTGAAAGGATCGTTTCAGCCTTGACTGATGTGCACGTGCTCACAACAGAGGCGAAGGGCCGTAGAGTGAAGGCCCAAGGCTGCCACTGGTTAGCCTGTGGACTCGAGTCTCAGTTTTCTCATCTGTAAAATGGCATAATAATAAATACATCATGCAGCCAACGGCAAGGACGGGATGAAATGTTGTGGGTAAAGAAAGCCCCCTGCCAACTACCTGGCCCATGGCAGGCACCCCACAGACAGTGCTTGTGATTGTCACCTCACTGTGAGACCTACAGTAATAGTCATGTAATACTCTTTTCCTCTGGGCCATTGTTTTCTTGGATTATATTGACAACTTATATTGTAAGGAAATCTCCCAGAGTGACCCTGTTAAGATGTCAGAAATATCATAGCACATGTCAGCTTGAAGCCCTTTGATGGCTTCGTCTTGGTCAGAAGAAGAGCCGAGGTCAGACTGTGGCCTCCAGGTCCCCCAGCAGGTGGCTCAGTGCTTTCCTGGGATACACTAGGCCCTTCCATGGCAGGTCTTTGTGACAGCTGTTCCCTCTGCCTGGAAGCTCTTCCTTAAGAATTCTGTGTGACTCACCTCTTCCACTTTCAGGCCTCTGTTTGAATGTCACCTGAGCCCCCTGTTTAAAACTGCACCCCACCCAACAGGCCAATCCCAGGAATAAGTGCATCCTTTGTGTCAAAAGGGGTGGTCTGAAAGCTTAAGAAATGGTAAAAGGATTCTCCTCATGGCTTATACTTTGTTGCTAGGCTGCAACTTTTTTTTCTTTTGAGACAGAGTTTTGCTCTTGTTGCCCAGGCTGGAGTGCCATGGCACGATCTGGGCTCACTGCAACCTCCGCCTCCCAGGTTCAAGAGATTCTCCTGCCTCAGCCTCCCGAGTAGCTGGGATTATAGGCACACGCCACCACGCCCAGCTAATTTTTGTATTTTTAGTAGCAACGGAGTTTCACGATCCTGGCCAGCCACCGCGCCTGGCCTGCAATTTGTTTTTAAGTCCTCTTATGAAGTTCAGAGACCAACGATCCTTCTCTTGTAAATTGACAGTTGTTTGCTGCTGTGTTCCTAATATCTAAAACAGCGCCTGGCACCCAGAAACAACCAAGGATTTGAAGGAAAGAGTGGGCCAAGACTCAGGCAACGTAGGTTTTTATCCCAATTCTGAGACATGCCTGCTTTGTGACTTTGTAGAAATCATGACCTTCTTGAGTCTTCATTTCCTTCTCTCCAAAACGGACCTAACAATCTGTCTCCTGGTGTCTTGAAGGGGCTGCAGGCAGGATAGAGATGTAAGTGCACATGTATTATAAGGCCCTGCAGAAACAGGACGGATTATTGTCATTAGCTGGTGACATTTGCAAGGACTGCCTACATGCATACTGTTTTAAATGCTTTTGAATTGGGAATTGTCTCCCCTGTGGCCTTTGTATGAAACGAGATTCTACATCAAGTGTGACAAACATCTCCAGCACCACTGAGTGTTCGGCCCTGTGGCACGACATGAGGAAGGGGGAAGGATGGCCCATTGCAAATTTTCTCAAGACTGGTGAAAATTGGGGTCAACTGGAATATTCTGGAGATCTATCAATGAGGCCAGATTAGCATCATTGGAATTTGCCTCATCCTATAAATTCCTGGGCAGCATCCTCTTGGAAGGATTGTATTGAAGGAAAGAGACTTGATAAAGTACATTACTTCTGATAATACAACAATCCCATGAGTAAGCGCACTCCTTGCGTCCAAAAGGTGGTGAAAAGACTTCCACAGGATTCTCCTCATGGTTTATACTGGGTACCTCAGTCTGCAATTTTTTTTTTTTAACTCCTCTCATGAAGTTCAGAGACCAAGGATCTTTCTCCTGCAGATTGACACTGTTAATCACAAACAAGCCCAGGGTTGTGTTCAGAGACAAAGTCAGTGTGACCGGTGACTGTTACAGCAATACAAAATAATGGCAGCAGTCCCACTAGCCGAGGCCAGCATCGAATAGGGCAAGTTACTCAAACACGTCACCCTAGCGACCACTCCAAACACCTGTGCTTAAACTAACTTAGGGAGCCCGGTTTTGCAGGATGTGCAACCACGTTGTGCCCCCTAGGGCTCACCAGACTTTAGTACCTAATGCAGCTACCCTCACCGTGGCCCAGGTTCCCAGGGAAATAAAACATGTAAGTTGCCAATACAGGAAACAGAAGTCATCCTCATTGCTCTGCAGGGATTTAAAAATTACAAACTTTTCATTAGCAGGAGCTAAGAACAAGAGATGAGTGCCATCTTGTGGAGAGACCCACAGACACGCATGGAGTTGTACCCCAAGTTCTCTCCCAGTGCAAGCATTCCCCAAACTCACCCCCTCTTAACCATCTCCTGAGTCAAATGCACTTGAGCACATAGTGCACAGTGCTCTTTCAACTTTTTCAAAATAGCAACAGTTTAACAGCTAATAACCTTAAGCTCCCTCACAGCAGCCTGAGGCCTACCGGAAGCTCTCTAAGGACGCTGCACCATGTTGTCCTCCCATCACCGGGCAGCCCATCTCCTCAGTTTGTTGGCCTCCCAGTTGGTAGAAGAGAGAGGGTAATGGTCCTTTTGCTCATGCAGCCTCTCCCCCTACTTCAATGCTCACCATTTGGTTTCATGAGAGAAACCTTCATTACATATTACACATCACATAGGTGCTGGGGATACCAAAATAACAATGACAGGCTGGCAAGGGGTCGGGTAAACAGACATGTAAGTGACAAGCGCTGTGATTGTGCAGAGCAACAGGGCAGAGAGCTGAAGAAGGAGGGAGAGAAGTCCTGGGGCTCTGTCTACAGAGCAGCCATCACTGAGGGTGCGCCACTGCCCCCCGTGTTCCCTGGGGCCCCAGCAGACTCCTTTGAGTGCTAGTTGGAGCAGGAGCTGTGGCCACGTTGACCAAGACCGTCCTCGAGAGGAACCTCTGCCCTCCTTGGCGAGGCTGGTCTGGGTGTGGACACTGCTTTTCCTCTTAGTTCTTCTGAGGCAAGGTTTTCCAGTAGAAATGTTTACTAGGTGACTAAAGGAAAAAACAAAAGCAAACAATGAAATACAGGGGCATATAAAGGCTAGCCTGCAAACAAAGGTGCCACACCCCAACATGACAGACACTAAACTCCAGCACAGGCCAGCCTGACGAGGGTGGCTTCTTAGTATGTGAATCTCTTTGCCATCTTCACCTCATACCTGTGTCCAGGGGCACGAGGCCAAGCTGCAGACAAGCCCAGTGAAGGCAGACTGGGCTTACGAGACTCATGGCCTACTGAGACCTGCAGTACATTCCAGAAGCTGCTTCCTAAATTCTGCTCTCGGGCGGGCTCGTGGCATCCACACCCCGGTTTCCACTGCAGTCTGCCCATCCTGGCCCTGAAAGTGGAAGGTCTTCCAGTTGTTGTTGGCTTTGTTGTCATTGTTTTTAAGGTCAATGGACATTTGAGTTGCGTCTGAATTTGGCAAAGATTTATTTTGGTTATGCTGGTATGAAATCTGTTTTCTAATTTATTGTATTTCTCAATCTCATCTCAAGGGGAGATATTGTGAAATATATATTTGTTCTTCATCCCGTTTCCTGGCATACAGCTCCTAAAATCCTGGGAATCTCCAAGTGTCTTTTTATAATTGACTTTTATGATGTCTTTTCATATGCTAATGATTGACTGATGGCTGGGCTCCCTAGACTGTTTAAGGAAAGTCTGTTCTCCAGAAAGACCAAGGCAGGATTAGAGGTTCAGGACTTCCAGCTCCAACCCTCAATGTCCAAGGAGTGGAGGGAGCTGGGGGTTAAGTTGATTACCAATGGCCAGTGGTTTTGTCAATCATGCCTACATAATGACGTGTCCATAAAAGGCCCAAAAGAACAGAATCTGGAGAGCTTCCAGGTAGGTGATCAGGTGGAGGTTTCCGGAGGGTAGCAAACCCCTTCCCCCATACCTTGCCCTACACATCTCTTCTTCTGTATCCTTTGTAATGTCCTTTAAGTAAACTGGTAAAGGTATTTCTCTGAGTTCTGCGGGCCACTCTAGCAAATTAATCAAACCCAGAGAGGGGATTGTGGGAACCCCAACTTGAAGCTAATAGGTCAGAAGTTCCGGAGGCGCAGAATTGTGACTAGTGATTGGGGTTAAGGATGGCAGCCTCAGACACTGAGCACTGTGAGATCTGACACGACCTCCAGGTAAACAGCATTGTAGTTGAATTAGAGGACACCCAGCTGGTGTCCCCTGAAGAACTGCTTGCTTGTTTGCAGCTGGGGAGAAATCTCCCGCATTTGTTCACAGAAGTCTTCATCTGTGTTGATTGTTGTGTTGTTGAGTGAGAAAATAGGAAAACGCACTTGCAGCTTTTGTGTTTTTTCCACACTAACACCCTGAAAAAAATGAAATCCTGTGCCTCCCAACCAACTGAACCAATCCCCTCTTGGCCAGGGGTATCCCAGGGAAATGAAAACTGAGTTCCCCACCGTGACCGTTGGGAGGTCGGACAGGCCCCTGCTAACCCCCCTTAGGCTTTCTTCCCTAAGGTTAAACAGAAACCAGCCCTTTGGAAAGACCACCCAGATATCAACCAACCACCTACCACTGCACCTCTTTTGAAGTTTGGACGAAACAATCCACCAGTATTCCTTCCTGATAAGAGACCACCAACCACAGAGTGGTTCCGGCTGGCCTACGGAGGATGCACAGAGAGGGTTTTTGTGTTCCCTCTTCATCTTTTGATGTCAGAGGGCGAATACTCAACCCCATCATGTTGACGCTGCCATTTTTTGAATGTAGAGAGGCATCGTGCTTGGTTGCGCATTCGCAGGTTACCTCTCTCATAAATATTTATGATCCTCCTGTAGCTTATTGAATATGTATATTTGGCCACCCGTTCAGCATAAATTCCTTATTCTTCCCACCCTTGAAGTGTCTGTTTCTGGATTCTGGCCGGAGGCTATGCTTCCTGCCTGTCAGAATGGCCACCTGGCAGGCTGCAACCCTTTATAAGAAATGAAGCTCTCCTTTCCAAATTTATGAACCTTGTTATTCTTCCGCTGACACTCCTCTTTATATGGACTTAATTGGGACCGATAAATTTAGTGTGGGGCAACTGGAAATATAATGAAGCAATGATGAATTCTAGAAGTTATCCTTGAGATTGTATTCACTTAGTAAAAATACAGGGCAGAATCGGAAGTAAAGCGGTACTCTCAATACAATGAGTAGTCCACAAGCCATCTAAACAAGAGGTCGCAGTTCTGGTTTTGGAACAAAATTCAGGCATGAGTCTGAATCCCAGCTCTGCTTTTCTAGCTGCGCCTGACTAGTGCAAGCCACTTCGCCATGTGAGTATCTTAGTCCATCCACACCATATAACAAAGCACCGTAGACTGGGTGGCTTATAAGCAACAGACATTTATTTCCCCCAGTTCTGGAGGCTGGAAGTCCAAGATCAAAGTGCCAGTGGATCTGGTGTCCGGTGAGGGCTACTCACACATTCTTGCTGTGTCTTCACATGGTGGAAGGGGCACACCAGCTTAAGGGAGAGAATTCACCCTTCCCATCCCCTTTGGCCCCTTCTTCTTCCACTATGTGAGGACACAGCAACAAGGTGCCACCCTGGAAGCAGAGAGCAGCCCTCACCAGGCATCAGATCTGCTGATGCCTTGATCTTGGGTTTCCCAGCCTCCAGAACTGGCAGAAGTAAATTTCTATTATTTGTAAATTACCCAGTCTCAGATATTTTGTTATAGCAGCACAGATGGACTAAGACACCAGGCTAGAGAACAAGGTTTCTCAAAAGTGTGGTTTCTGCTCCACATCAATAAAGGCCGCCTGGGCTCCTTGTGGAAGATGCAGATTTCCAGGTCCCATCCAAGAATTTTGAAGCCAAATAGCCAGAGTCAGGCCCCAAATCTGCATTTTGAAGAAGTGCTCGCTGATGCACATGTGCACCAAATTTGGGGCCTCTGTTTCAGAGGGAAGGCAACAAGTTTGCAGCGTGTGAGTTCTAAGTCCTGCAGCACATCACCCTGGACCCTGTGACCCCAGGGAAACACAAATAAATCACTCATCACTTCTTCCACTTACTGACAATAAAAATAGTTCTTGTGGGCTGAGCACGGTGCCTCATGCCTGTAATCCCAGCACTTTGGGAGGCCAAGGTGGGTGGATCACTTGAGGTCAGGAGTTCCAAACCAGCCTGGCCAACATAGCAAAACCCTGTCTCTACTAAAAATACAAAAATTAGCCAGGCGTGATGGCATGTGTCTGCAATCCCAGCTACTCAGGAGGCTGAGACAGGAGAATCACTTGATCCCAGGAGGCAGAGGTTGCAGTGAGCCAAGATCGCACCACTGCACTCCAGCCCGGGTGACAGAGCAAGAGTCCATTACAAAAAAAAAAGAAAAAAGAAAGAGTTCTTGTGAAAAACTGTTGGAAAAAAAAATCTTTTAAAACACTTTGTACCTGCACATAAGCTGTGCTCACTACTGATGCCAACCCCAAAAAACAGAAACATCCAGAACCCAGAGTTGATGTGGAAGGCAGGGGAGAGGGGAAGGCAGCCCTGGCCCTGCAGTGGCCACTACAGCCAGACCCTTAGCTGTTAGATACACCAGGGTGACCTGGAAGACTTGGTTTGAACAAAGGGCTTCTTTTGTTTTTAACCTACTTTTTGTGATAAATGACTGTCTTTAGTTTCCTAAAATAAATCCACATTAGCGCCGAGTTGACAAAAATGCCCTGGTTGGGCAACATTGCGGAGCAGCAGATTTTGCTGTTAAGGCCAAACTGCCTCCACACCTGTTCTTAGTGCAGCTCTTCTCACTGAATACCTGTCTCAGGACATTTTCTGCTCTAGAAGTTACTCTGTTAGGTCTAAATTTAACTTCCTGTATTGTCCAGTTCAAGGGAATTTGTATTTGAAGCCTAATCTTTCACTGGGGAATAAAATTGCAAGAGGAAATACGTTCTTTCATGTCAGGATTCCATGCTGGGCTCCCGAAGACAACACTATTAGCCCATTTTCTAGGACAGAAACCATTTCCACCCAGAAAGTTCTTGGTGGTAAAAGGTTAAGCAATGTTTTAGTGACTCAAAAATCGAATCCAGGCAGGAATATTCCTCTGCGGCATTGTCACGTGTGGTCAATTCTGTAGATTGTATCCCTAAAATCACTCCCACCCTTTTCCCCCTTTGCCTTTCTTTGCTCTAGAAGCTGAAAAACCAAAATCCTCCATTTCTCAGCCTCTTGCAGCCAGGGGCTGGGGGGGATGGGGGAGAATACGACAATTCTATCTAGTAAGATGCAGGTGGAAACCCCTAGAGTGGCTGTCCCTCCCCAGAAAGGGCAATACCCTTCTATAGGAAAGCACTTTATTTTTCCCCTGTACACTCTCCATTTCTTTCTGCCTGGAATGCAATTGTCACTATTGGCAAAACAGTAGCTATCTTGTGACCGTGAGAGAGAAAATATGGAAAGGAAATCCAACCAGCTCAGGATGAGAGGAGGAAAACACACAGTGAGACTCGGTCCCTGAGGCCTCTTGGAGCAGCTGCAAAAGTTCTGGCCTGCCCTCCTAGAGACTCCTTTCGTGAGAAAAATGAACCTCGTCTGTTTTAGGCCAGTCTTGGGGAGGGCTTCGGCTACTTAACACACTGTCCTGGCTAGTAAGCAAGAGTTGACAGTTTCTACTGTGGTTTGTCTCACTTTTTATCTAGGCAGTAAAATGATCAATCTTCAAGAGGGTGACGCCACAGACATCCCCTTCCATCCGCTTCTGTGCCGATCAGCTGTGGCATGAGGGCTACAGCCCCGACGCAGGTGTAAACATCCGTGTGGCTCTGACACTCCTACACGAGAATGCTTCTTGGATTTGCCGTAAAACAGACTAAAAGAACGACAGGTGAAGTCTAAGTACATGCTATGTGCTGAGCATTATTCTAGGTGCTATACAATCAGTATTAACTCATTTAATCTTAACACCACCCCTAAGATGTATTATTTATTAATCCCAGTTTACATATACATATTTAAAGCTCAGAGAGTTTAAGCAACTTATCTAAAGTCACACGACTGGTGGAACCAAGCACAGGCCCAAGCTGGCAGTCTGGTCTCATAACCCTGGTGTGTCCACAGTTGGCTCCTTCCGGTGGGTTCTCACTCTGGCTGACTTCAAGAATTAAGCCGGGGATCTTCTCGGTGAGTAGCTCTTACGGGTGGTACGGGCCCAAAGAGTCAGCAGCAGCAAGATTTACTGCTAAGAGCAAAAGAACAAATATTCCACAGCACGAAAGCGGTACCCAAGTAGGTTGCTGCTGCTGGCTCTGGTGACCAGCGTTTATTCCCTTATGTGGCCCCCGCCCATGTCCTGCTGATTGGTCCATTTTACAGAGTGCTGATTGGTCCATTTTTACAGAATGCTGATTGGTGCATTTATAATCCTCTAGCTAGATACAGAGCGCTGATTGGTGCATTTACTATCCTCTGGCTAGACAGAAAAGTTCTCCAAGTCCCCACCTGACCCAGAAGCCCAGTTGGCTTCACCTCTCACTGCTACTTTCTGTCAACCAGAGTCAAATAATTTTTTCCAACCAACCAGGCAACTCACAAAATCAGTGGGTCCCCGGGGTATAATTTTCAGGCATCAGGCTTCCAGAGGTCAGAATTCTGGCCACCCATGATATTCTTCCTCCAGTGAGGAGCCCTCCAGACCTGCTCCATAGCGACGGCAGGACCTGCCTCCCAGCAGAGCAGAGATGAGCTAGTCAGGAGCAGGAGAAATGATCTTCAGACTCTGGGGCCCAGCATTCCCCAGGTTTCCTGCAGGTCTCAAAATCTATCTTGAACAAACTTGCTTACATCATTTATTTTTAAATAAAAAAGAACCACTATTGGGAGAAGGTAGTGCTTGATTTTTTCTTCTTGGCAGAGTTCATTCCATAGCCTGCATGAAAGCCAAGATTCTGTGTGTTTGGTTTTGTTATCTCTGTGCCCTACTCGAGTTTTATTTATGGTTGCAAAGCTACAGTGTCTATAAATTAGACTTCCATACATTTTCTTTTGATATTTTATCTGAAAAGCAAATAATATCAATGGCATGCTTACTACTTGATGAAACTTACTAAGCAGATCTTACAATGGTACACTTTTTACCTAGAGTTGTTACATCTTCTGTTACGATTCCCACCCAACCTGGGAAATAAAAGCAATTTTTACAAAGTTAACCTGAAAAAGATAAAAATTCATTTTTGCTTCATTCTAAAATCTCCAGCTGGAAATGGAGAGAAGATCAAATTGTTTGTCAGCTGTGGCTCCCTCCTCCTTTTTGAAGAGAACTAAATATGCGTGCTTAGTTAGGCCCATTGTTTTGTAAAATCACATCTATTTTCTTTGCTATTGTCGCTGTGAAGCATGAATATAGCATGCTGCCTGCTGGGCTGGAAATACACCCGTCGAGCCAATCCCGTACTTCATTTATGATCTATTATTCTCCATTATTCCTGCAGAGCTTCTGATTGCATTCCTATTAATCGTTCTAATTTGCTCTTCATTATGCTATTTGCCATTCAGTGTTGGGCCTCTACTCGGTTGACTTCCAGTGTTTAGTAACTTATGTTGAGATGCAGCTTTCTTTAGATTGGTGCCGCTTGAGAACGCAGACACCCAGTATCTTTGCTGCCTCCGAAAGGGCACCGCAGAGGCCTTATGTGCCCATCTCATGTGGATGGCCAACAGGTTAGGTCCCTTTATTTATAATCTAGTATGCATCCCTCGTCCTCAGCTCTTTACTAAATGTCCACTGGCTGCCAGGCCTGTGCCAGGTGCTGGGATAATGAGCCTGCAGGAGCTCAAGCCTGCTGTGGGAAGTGGGCCAGGAGCCCAGGGCACATCCTCTAGTAGACCCTATAGGACCCTGTGCCAGTTAGAACGTGTTGAACTGCAAGTAATGGAAACTCACCTTCAACGGAGCAAACATCAGGGGAAATTGACCATCTCCTGAAACAAAAGTCAGGAGATAAGGCTCTCCAGGGCTCACGCATGTGAAACTTAGGACTCAGATCATTTTCACCTTTCTGCTCCTCCGCCCCCGGCATTCCAGCTTCTCCCTGTGCTTACACGGGAGCTGAAGGAGTTTTAAGTGAGACGTCCACACACAACTGTTTCAGAGAAACAAGATAGGGGTTGACATTTCTTTGTATCTCTTGTTAAAAGTGAATAAATCTTTCCTAGAAACCCCCCACCAGCCTATCCCTTGGGTCTTGTTGGACAAAATCGCATCATATGCTCATGTTTAAACCAACCACTGGCAAGTTATATGAGGTGGCCACAATTGGCTAGGACCCATCAGGAGCTTGGAAAGTGGATGAGGCAGTCTCCCCTAAACATGTGGCTGCACAGGGGAGATGAAATAGCTAAACAAACTCAAGTCTGTATTAGGAAGCAGAAAAGGAGACTGTTATGGTCTAAATGTTTGTGTCCCTCCAAAATTTATATTTTGAAACCTGATCCCCAATGCAATAGTATTCAGACGTGGGGCCTTTAGGAGATGGTTAGGTCATAACAGCTTTGCCCTCATGAATGGGAGTTAGTGCCCCTATTAAGGAGAGTCGAGAGAGTGTTTGTCCTTTCCATCACGTGAGGACAGAGCAAGAAGTAGCTGTCAGCAGACACCAGATCTGCTGGCACCTTGATCTTGGGTTTCCCAACTTCCAGAACTGTAAACAACAAATTTCTATTGTTTACAAATTACCCAGTCTTAGGTATTTTGTTGTAGCAGCACAAATGGAGTAAGATAAGACAGAGAGGTAACGGATGTTGGGTAAGTTACAAAAGCGTCTCCTGTGACCACTTTCTCTCCACCTACAGTAATGGTTCTTCTAAATTCTTTTGTTGTTGTTGTTGTTGAGACCGAGTCTCACTCTGTCACCCAGGCTGGAGTGCAGTGGTGTGATCTCGGCTCACTGCAACCTCCACCTCCGGGGTTCAAGTGATTGTCCTGCCTCAGTCTCCCGAGTAGCTGGGACTATAGGCGCCCGACACCACGCCTGGCTAATTTTTGTATTTTTAGTAGAAATGGGGTTTCACCATATTGGCCAGGCTGGTCTCAAACTCCTGACCTCGTGATCCACCTGCCTCAGCCTCCCAACGTGCTGGGATTACAGGCGTGAGCCCCTGCGTCCGACCAAAAATAAAAGATTCTTAAATGGGTGTGGACTTTTTTATTTTTATAATAATGTTCTTTTGTGGGTAGTTATTTTATAGCTGTAAAACAAAAACTGATTTAAAAATTAAGGACAAAGTTACAAAAGCAATGAAAGTTAAGTTGTTAAAGTTATGGACAAGTGGCATTGTTTTACTGATACCAATAGCCACTCCCAACATAAATAAGTTGCTATAGCAGCTGCTGTATCATTGTGTCTCATGATCATCCAGCATCCTTTCCACTGTCCCTTCATTCATGCTTCTGTGCAGTTTTCTTGAAACTGCAGTGCCACTTAGTTTTACTGGGCATGAACTCAGCCTACACCTGTCCCTTTCTCTTTGGCCAGTGAAAATGACTGTAGTTATTAGTTGACGTTCACAGAGTACATTTTAATTGCTGTTATTATTATTGTTGTTGTTGTTTTGAGACAAAGTCATACTCTATCGCCCAGGCTGGAGTCAGTGGCATGATCATAGCTCACTGCAGCCTCAAGCTCCAAGCTCAAGTGATCCTCCTGCCTCAGCCTCCAAAGTAGGTGGGACTACAGGTACACATCACCATGCCCAGTTAATTTTAAAAAAAATATTTTTGAGAGATGAGGTCTCACTATGTTGCCTAGGCTGATCTCAAACTCCTGGGCTTAAGTGATCCTCCGACCTCACCCTCCCAAAGTGTTGGGATTACAGGTATGAACCACTGTGCCTGGCCCATAGCAGCATTTATAATAGCAAAAAAACCAGATATCACCCAAATGTTAATTGACTAAATAAATCATGGTGTATTTATATAATAGAATACTGTACAAAGATGAGAATTAATGAACCACAGATATATTCCAAAATACAGGTTCATTTTAGAAGCATAATGTTTGCCAAAAAGTGAGTCACAAAAAGCGATGTATAATATACCCCTTCTCTAGAACTCAAAGCAGACACATTGCCACCCTAGGGTCTTGGCGTTGGTCATTTCCTGTACCTGGAACATTTGTCTCCCACACTTCTGCAAAGCTTATTCCTTTACCTCTCTCAGATCTTTGCTAAAATGGCACCACTGACCCTTCTGTGTAAAGTCACAATCCTAGTGTACGCAATCCCTCTCACTTCCCTCTACTTTCTCTATTTTCCACAGCACACCATAGCACCATCATCTTCTAACAGCATCTGCTGTATTTATTTTGTGGATGGTTTACTGACAGTCTCCCCAGGTAGAAACACAAGTTCTAGGAGAGTAAGGCTCTTTGTTTTATTCAGGTACATCTTAAATGACTAGAACCCTGCTTACACAAAACAGGCACTCAATACATATTATATATATTTTTCTTTTTTTTTTTTGGCAGAGTCTCACTCTGTCACCCAGGCTGGAGTGCAGTGGTGCTATCTTGGCTTACTGCAACCTCCACCTCCGGGGTTCAAGCGGTTCTCCTGCTTCAGCCTCCTGAGTAGCTGGGATTACAGGCGCCCACCACCACACCCGGCTAATTTTTGTATTTTTAATAGAGACAGGGTTTCACCATCTTGGCCAGGCTGGTCTTGAACTCCTGACCTCAAGTGATCTGCCTGCCTTGGCCTCCCAAAGTGCTGGGATTACAGGCGTGAGCCACCTTGCCTGGCCTCAATACATATTTTTACCCTCTTCCTGCCTGCCACTTCTACCTCACTGCCTCAGCTTAGTGTCTTATGAAGACTACCAATGGTTGTTATACCACATGTATTCAGGAGCAGTTGACATAATGTAACTTTTGCCTGGTGGCCTACAGAAGTTTACCCATCCATTTATTCATTCATCTGAACCACACTTGTGTGAATGAAGCAGACAAATAGGTGATGAGGCCATAAAGAAATTCCTTGTGGCATGGGATCTGGCCAGTCCCTTACACATGAGAGGCTGTCACTGAGGGCCCTTCTGGATGAGATCATCATAGATGATGTCTACACAACCACACATCACTTTCATCACTACGTAAATCAAAGCCATCATTCATGTTACATTGCTAAGGCTGCCTCTTGCTGAAAATGTGACCACTTGAGCATCAATAAGAACACAAATAGCAACGGAAGAAAACACATTCCTCTGTTTAAGTCCATTCCTTCATACCGATACTCAAAACCAAGAGCAATATCTACTGCAACAAATTGAGACGGGATTGTTCCCTTGACCTTGACATGCTTTGTAGGCGGGAACTGGAGTGGCGCATTTCACTCAGCCCGCTGCTGGCCACTCCTCGCGAGAGGGAGCGTGTGAGCAGGTGAGTGCTGGAACTGGAGGGAACAAATGCTGGAAACAGCTGGTCGCTCCTCTCTGATGAGAGCAGACTCTGCGCAGGCCCCACAGCAGCATCCAAGCCCTTGCCCTCTCGGCACCCAGGTTCTTGTTTGGTGTCCAGGAAGAATTAGGTCACAGGAACAGATTGAAGGGTAGTGTATGCAGAGGATTTTATTGGTCGATGGATGTGGCTCTCAGCAGAATGGGGAATTGGAAAGGGGATGGTGCGGGAAGAAGGTGATCTTTCCCTGAAGCTGCACCGTCTGAGGTTAGCTGCGTCTATCTGTAGTCTCTGATGCTCAGCCGCTTGCATCCCCTACGTTCAGCAGCTTGCATCCCCGACCCCTTGCATCAGCCGCTTGTGTTGCTCTGCCAGCTGAAGTCTTTTTATGGGCACAGGATAGGGGCATGGCAGGCCAAAAAGGCAACATTTGGGTGGAAAACGGGGTCAGCTGTTTTCACTTAGGGCTGCGGCTCCAGGCCCAAGGGTGGGGTTTAGCCAGGAGCCCAACCATTCTGTATCAAAATCACTGGTTGCAGGAGACTAGGAAACCAACTCGTTTTAAAAACTGGTCAGTAAGGGAAAAGAATCCAGCATGTATCTGGCTTTATATAAACTGCACCTTACATCATCAAATAGTTGATGAGGGAAAGTTTCTCTTTATAGAAGTATTCCAGCAAACAAAATAAAGGAAAAAATGAATTAAAAATTAGAAAATCACCATTTTGCCACCTCTGATGAAATAACCTATGGTAATGATGGGCAACAACCAAGCATAAGGGTCCTGCAGCTGAGGTACACACACCATCTGGGAAGTATTCTTGACAAAGACATTGGACCCGAGATCTAACTACCAGAAATACAGAGGACAGAGACATGTTCAAAGATACCACATAAATGCAATTAGCAAATTGCAGGTTCTACAGGACAAAAATTGTATTTCTTCAACAAATACATTTTTCAGATCCTGGGGTCCAGGTCCAGCCCATGCTGCGGTCCGAGGGGAGTGGGTGGATGAGCGGAAAGAACGCTTGGGGAGCTCTAGGCAGGTGAATATGGTTTTATTCAGCAGCCGCTTTCATTAACAGCTTTTTCACACCAGCGCTTTCATGGGCAGCTTCTCTCACGCTGTCCGCTCTTATCTCAGCCGTTTGCTCCGGCTCTGCGGCTCCTGTCACCCCGACATCTGCAGCTGCATGGCAGACTCTGCCTTGCCTTCAGGGTCAGCAGCTTCACTCTTTCTCTCTCTGGGCACCAGCGCGAGCCGTGCTGTGGCTCCCCTGTGTCCATCTGCAGGACGGACAGCTCTGGTTCTCTCTCTGGGCACCAGGGTGCCCGCCACGTGAAGCCACGTTGAGGCAAAGCTGAGCCCCAAGAGCCAAGAGCCTCTGTACAGCATCACCAGGACAGTTATACCTTTTACAGACAATAGTGGCTCAGAGCCAAGTATGAACTTACACAAACAGGTTATATAACAAGTGGAGGTGTGCGCTGGCACGCGAAACTCACTGAGTCATGCAGGCCTGGGTGTCCGCCTCGGCCTATTCTTTGACCAAAGCACATCCATGTACCTCACAACATTCCAAACAGGTGGTGAGGAAGAGAAACAGTAGAGATTAGAAGAGACTTCAGAGACCCAAGAACCATCTCAGTGATTTTACCTGCTCTGGTGAAGTCCTGATTTTGTCAATTGAAAAAAACCATTATAAAACTTTATAAGATAATCAGCAAAACTGGAAAATTCAATAACTATCTGATAAGATTGTGTAATTATTGTTCATTATTTTAGGTACAATATTGATATTAAGGTTATTTTGTAAAGAGTTTTACTATTTTAGAGAGGCATACTGAAATATTTATGGACAAAATGATGCGATGTCTGGGATTTGCTACAAAACAATCCAGGTGGGGGACAGTACAGGTGAAAAAAGATTGGGTATGAGGTGACAATTGTTAAACTGGATGATGAATACAGGAGGATTATACTACACTATTTCCCTTCTCAATATTTATAAAAATTTAATGAAATTTTCCATAATGAAGTTTATCTCCTAAGAATTTTTATCTCTAGGCTAATTAGTGGATACGTTCCACTCAGTGCAAACCTGCACCAGTGGTTTGCGTAAGACGAGCCAACCTGTCTGGGTTCTGCTTCCAATTCTGGGTCAAAGATTCACTGGCAAACATCCACAAAATAAGCAAAAGTCAATGCAGCACTTTGCTAAGCATGAAGGATGCATGAGAAATAATTTTTACCACAAGTATCTCACCATCAGTTTGCAGGCAAGAGACGACAGGAATGCGTACATGTCAGTGGTGACATCATCCATACAACATTGGCTAGTGATTTTACACAATACCAAGTGGGGCCACCTCTGTCACTCAGGGTGACACACAACCCTCTTACCATATCCAAGTTTCAAGAAGCTCTGCTGATCAAATGGGCCATCTCCCCGCTCACTATCCCTCTCTCTATCTAGTTAATTCTAATAGCAGGCTTGTATTAGCTTAAATTATATTGCAGATTGACCAGAAAATTCTGACTTCCATTGCAACATTGAAATAAGCATCTTATTCCGATGGTTTGCACCAATAGTTACTCCGTTGCCCTCTGTGTCTCCTTCAGGGATCAGCACAAATGAAACAGACATGGTCACCTCCCAGGGAGGACTTGAGGACAGTGGGAGGCACTCCCTCCAGCCATGGTTCTGACAGCACCAGGCAGGCTGGGAAGGGCACCTCTGCTGAACAACCGTGTGCTCAAGGCCGCACAATTCATTCTTTCAAGTCCCACATCTACTTCACCTTGTTTTAAGGGATGATGGTATAAATAAGAGCTACAGTAGCAGCCACAGAAGGAAAGCAGGGTGGAAATGCATTCTGGATGGTCCTCTAAAGTAAAAATAAATAAGAACTCTGTGTCGTTGAATAAATCCTCTCTTCTCTCATGCGCCCTGCACTTCCATAGGCTGGGCAGTTCGTGCTTGGAAAGATGCTCAGCCCAGACGTGAAGTGTCTGGCCCCCACTGGTGCCGTTTTTGGAGAAAGCCAGTGAACAGGGGGCCACTCCTGCACTGGGGCTTGGATCTCTGGTGGAACCTGATTCTGAGGATTTCATAGCTGTTTCCTCTCATCCTCATTTGTTTCCTTTCTTTCTTTCTTTTTTTTTTTTTTTTTTTTTTTTTTGAGATGGAGTCTCGCTCTGTCACCCAGGCTGGAGTGCAGTGGCGCGATCTTGGCTCACTGCAAGCTCTGCCTCCCGGGTTCACGCCATTCTCCTGCCTCAGCCTCCCGAGTAGCTGGGACTACAGGCACCCGCCACCATGCCTGGCTAATTTTTTGTATTTTTAGTAGAGACGGGGTTTCACCATGTTAGCCAGGATGGTCTCAATCTCCTGACCTCGTGATCCACCCGTCTCAGCCTCCCAAAGTGCTGGGATTACAGGCGTGAGCCACCGCGCCCGGCCTTGTTCCCTTTCTTAGAACATACCTTGCAAAGGTTCAGGGCACTCGCAGGGGCTGTGAAGTGAAGTGAGCATTTGAAAGACAAGATTCCTGACATTCCCAGAAACGGTCCCTGGTCTCCTACCAAATGCACTGACCCTGGCGATGGTCACCCTCATGTTGACCTGAACCTAGGAGTGGAGGGAAAAGTGGAGAAAAAACTTGTTCCTTGTCATAGTAAGACACGGCTATGGAGAGAGGGGGGCTTCAGCCCTGCCCTGGCCTCGGTAACATGACTGTGCTCGTGCCTCCTTTCTCCAAGCTGTGGCGTGAGCTCACTCATCTTTGGGGAAAGCTGCAGCCGCCTCCTGCCCTGACGCCCTACAGATGGGTCTCAGCTCAGGGCAGGGCTGCGGGAGGCAACAGAGAGGCTCCCTTGTGGTATCATCTCAGCCAGGGGTGAAACCCAAGGAAATCTTAAGACCAGAGCTGCAATTAATTATATCATGCTTATTCCTTAGATTCCTGAGTTCAGTTATCCCTGATCCGTTCAACAGACTTTAACTGAGTAGTTGCTGAGGACCGAGCACTGTGCGAGGTGTTATTTGCTCACAGCTGATTTATTTCTAAAGCTGACTTAAAGCCTGCCTTGGCACTGTAGGAAGATCTCTACTCCTTTCAGTTCTGTTTTTTCCACTTTTTCTTAATATAGGAGGTCATATCCGGCACAGGGGCTGTCCGTATAGCTCTGCTTTCGAAAACCAACTCCCTGCTCAGCTGGGCTAGGATTGAAGGGTTTTGCCCAGTTAAAATGTTCCTTTACTTCCATCTTCAGGCAGGAGAACACAGCCCTCCCTCTGTCCTTGGCAATTATCCTGCAGCAGAATCACGATCCCCCTCCCCAGCCACCACCACTTCCCCCAGGAAGCAGCTGATGGCTCTGGGTCCATTGTATCTTCTAGACAGGGAACTGCTACCAGCCTGCAAAATCAGCCCGAGAATACAAAAAGCCAGTTCAGAGATGCTGCTATTGAAACTCGGTTTCCGTTTCTGTCATTTCCTAACCTTCCTGAGCAGGTAGTACAAGGCCTTAGTTTTCTCCTCCATGCCATACCAATGCCTACAACATTTCTTGCTTGCATCATTCATTTGACACCTAGCACAACATGGTTCCATTTTGTTCTGGATATGTTCTGATTCCCAAACTAGACTTTCAAGGAGTGAGGCTGGTGGCAGGGCTGGTGCAGAGTGGGAGGGTGGTGAGAATTTAACTTCCGCAGGCATAGTTTCACTTGGCATAGAGAATTCTTTTTTAGCCAAATCCTTAAGGATCATCTTGTTTTGGTAAACCTTATTTTTGTTTTAGAAACAAAAACATAGCTCGTGCGGCAAAGCCAAGAGTGAGACTATTAAAACAAAATTGTCCTGTTTAATACATTTCCTCAAAGTGCCTGAGAGTGAAAGACTAAGAGACCCTAGACCAAGGCCAGGTGCAGTGGCTCACGCCTGTAATCCCAGCACTTTGGGAGGCCGAGGCGGGCGGATCACGAGGTCAGGAGATCGAGACCATCCTGGCTAACACGGTGAAACCCCGTCTCTACTAAAAATACAAAAAATTAGCCGGGCGTGGTGGCGGGCGCCTGTAGTCCCAGCTACTCGGGAGGCTGAGGCCGGAGAATCGCTTGAACCCGGGAGGCGGAGGTTGCAGTGAGCCAGGATCACGCCACTGCACTCCAGCCTGGGTGACAGAGCGAGGCTCCTTCTCAACAACAACAACAACAACAACAAAACCCAGATGAAAAACCACAAACAAACAAACAAACAAACAAAATGACAGGGGAGGTTCCACTTGGGAAAGAGCTACTGGGAAGTTCCTGCCGGCAAGGAGAGCAGAGGGCGTTTAACAACCGGGGATTTGATTGCAAGGATATGTGACGTTTATCTTCAGGAGGTTTTGGGGTGCAGTAATGTAGCCACCTCCATCTCTCCCATGGGTGCCCCAATTTCTCACACCTTGAGGTGGGAGGTATCCCCCCTGAAGGAGACACAAATTCAGGAAGATAATGCAGTGAGACGATCAGTAATCTGGGGCAGGGATTCCGAAACAAGAAGCTAGAGGCGACTGGGAGGAATCTTAACGCGCGCCTCTCCGCCCTGGAAATTTGGGAGGGAGCCTGGCTTTCCCAGTATTTGTGAAATGGGGGTTTGGGAGCTTTATTTACATTTCAAAAGGTCTTAGTGATCACAGGCCCAGGACCTAATGCAGCAAAATGTGCCCTGAATTAACTTTGGTTACTACAAAGATGCTGGTTTTAAATGGGGCAAAAATAAAATGAAGAACCTGCCTAAAAATCTGTCTCTTTGCAGCCTAGAGTGTGGCTGGTAAATGAGGTCTTTTTTCATTTGGTACCATAAATAACACATTCAGGAAGATTCCATCAACTGAGTCCTGTGGAAATATTGGCGTCAGAATTAGCAACACTGGGTTCATTGTGAGGTGGTGCTGATACCCTTCCAGCGGGTTTTGGTAATCACACCTCACAAAGAGCTCCCGATTTGCCAAGAGGCTGCTAGAAAGATGCAGGCCTCAGGAACTATGCCATGGTTTGCTATTTGTTTTTCTTTTCCACATAATTACTTTTCAAAGCAATCAAAATTATCTGTAATTTTTCATTATAAAAATAACATATTCACAAAATGTGGCAAAAGCAACTGTGAACTTTTCAATCTATTTCTTTGCAGTTTTTCATTGTTTATCATTTTTAAATTGAAAAATGTTTTAGAAATTGTAAAGATAGAATCTTGCTATGTTGCCCAGGCTGGTCTTCAAGCAATCCTTCTGCTCTGACCCCCCAAAGTGCTGGAATTACAGGGGTGAGCCACCATATCCGACCTCATGGTTTAATTTTCTAAAAATTATGAAACCATTCAAACACACAGAAAACAGCACAACAGACACCTGTATACTCACCACTAAAATAAAAAATATGTTTGCATTTTACTGTATAACTACAGTGCTCTCTCTCCCTTTCAAATAACCCAAACATGACAAATACAGCAGAAGCCCCCACCCCGGGGTCACCTCCTCCCACATGAACCCACATTTAGAGACGACCATTGTGCTGAATTCAGTGTGCCACAGTCCTGGCTCTGATTTTGTATTTTTACTGCATTATTACATGAATCCATAAATATGTACGGTTGTTTTGAATGTTTTTGAAATGTACGTGATAACTTCCTACTGTATCTGTTTGCTCTTCATTTTTCCTTTCAACATCACTAATTCTCTCATTTTAACTGCTGCGTTGACTGAATAAACCAGTTTATTCATTCCTCTGCTGAAGGAGGGCTAGGTCGTGGCTGCTCCGTTGCAATTACAAACGTTTTGCACAGACCTTTTCCTGGGACTCCTTGTGTAGACATGAAGGACTGGATCCTGGAGTATGCACACTTCAACCTTAGTGGAAATGGACAGGCTTCTCTCTTAAGTGCTCTTATCATGTATCTTCCCATCTTTCTGAGTTCCATTTCCCCTTGAAAGAAGGCAGTCAGTAATTTGGAAAAAAAAATTACAGAACAAGAAGCTGGATGTGGCTGGGAGAAATCTGGAAAAAACAAAACAAAACAAAACAAACAAACAAAAAAAACACAACAACAAAAAAAACCAGCCACCTCCTCCCTGGAAATATAGGGAAGGAGGGAAGGATGCTGTTTCTCCCAGCAGTTGTGAAATGGGGCTTTGAGGAGCTTTATTTACATGCAAAGGGCAGCAGCTACCCAGATGGCCCCGTCGAGGCGGCCAACCGGATGTGCCCTCCTGCAGGCCTGGGGCCTCATCCTCACCAGCCCTCGGCAACAGCAGCCGTTCATTTTTCCAACGAAGGGGAGGGTGAGCGTCTATGTGTGTGTTTACTGGCCCTTCAGCTTCTTCTCTTCTTCGGCTTCCTTTTCTTCACATCACCTCACTCCCCATGGGACTGTTTGTCCCACGCTGATTATTGCATGGGCAGTGGCCAACAAAGTGTCCTGCTCCTGGTAGGACGGCCGCCCTGCTGGCACACCAGCGGGACACCTGTGTTTCAGTTGTCTCTGTCTGGACCGTGTGCCCCTGCCAATTCCCACCAGCACGAACTGTCCCCAGATGGAAAAGAGTGCTGGGGAGGCCGGACTCGGCTAAGATAAAGGAAAGCAAAGAGAAAGGAAAGCTGTCTTCTGTCGGGGGACCCTGTGCCAGTTTGTCAAGACTCAGCCAAGGTCTTGTCTGGGTGAACGAGGTCCGAGCTGACTTTGAAGTTGAGAAGATGCAGGGGCGTTATAAATGAACACCTCTTGGGGTCAAGGTGGGTGGAAAGTAGGACTGTGGGTAAGAAGGGCCCCAGAGGTAGGCCAGGATGCAGGCAGGGCCACCTGAGACACGCTCCAGGGACGTTTCTATAAAGTGGCCTTGGTCTGGCCCCAGGTCAAGGTCCACGCTGGGAGGCGGGGCAGGCTCTTCATTTTCACTGTTAGCGCTCCCTGTTCTTTGTCAGCCCACATACCCACCAGAGCATGCTGTGTGGTCCACATTCTTTCAGGAGTTTTCTTCTCCTCCCTCCCCCACGTGCCACCATGGAGGCCAGCAGGTTTCTCAGTGACTTTCTGCATGGCAGGCTTTTTTCTTGTTTCCTGCACACAAAGAATGACTTCAGCATTTCAGCTGCAGGGTCTCCTACTAGACTGCACCTTCAGCATTTTTTTAATTTCTTAGTGTTACATAAAAAAAAGCTTATAAAATAATTGGGTGCATCTTCAAATCTATAATACAGTAATCTTATTTGCAAATTTAAAAAAAAATGAAGGAATTAGTTCAGAGCCTGTGGACAGAGGTGAGCAAAGGAAAAGCGCCAGAGGCTTCTATAAATGCTTCTTGGTTCATGCATCGGTTGACTGCGTCTGACCTTATACCCTGCAGATTTGGATTCTCAATTGATCTGCTTTACACTTGAGGACTAAGATCTGATTTTTTTTATCTTGCCCAAATTCCTATCTAAGGGGTCTAGGGAGTCATACCCTACAAACCATAAATTCTCATCAGATGGGTTTTATTTGACCCTGTATATAGTGACTTACTTTCCAATCTGACTCTGGCATAACAAGGAAGAAAATCGAAATGTTTTACCCCAAAATACATTTCCTTGCCATGCCTTGAAATTGTCCTGCAAAGTCTCTGTGGGAAAAATCCACAATCTACAGAGAATCTCCTTCCCCGTTTGTTTTCCTTCCTTTCTTTCCAGACCCAGGAGATAACCAACTAAGAGCCAGGCACCCTTTTAGGTCTTATAAGAAACATTTTACAACCTGCTCTCTCTCTGAAGTCTGCTATCTGAGAGATTCCTCTGAACAATAAAACTTGGTCTCCACAGTCCTTTATCTTAACCTGAACATTCCTTTCCATTAATTCCAGACCTTCAAATAAACTCTACCAATTATCAACCAGAAAATGTTTAAATTTACCTATAGCCTGGAAGCCTCCCCACTTTGAGTTGTTCCGCCTTTTCTGAACCAAACCAATGTGTTTCTTAAATGTATTTGATTGATGTCTCATCCCTTCCTAAAATACATAAAACCAAGCTGTACCTCAACCACCTTGGGCACATGTCCTCAGGACTCCTGAGGGCTGTGTCACAGGCCATGGTCTCTCATATTTGGCTCAGAATAAATCTCTTCAAATATGTTAGAGTTTAACTCTTTTCGTCAACACACTGAATCTCAGTCTCAGCTGAGCAGTGTTTCAGTGAGGCGTTACTACACAGCTTGATATACAAACTCACTTAAGCAATTACTGATATTTAACCTGACATAATTTTTATCATTACATGAAGTAGTAGTAAAAGAGAGCAGAAGCTGGATTGCCCTGGGAGCACAGTTCAGAGTGGAGTGGGGAGCTAAGAGGATCCTAGTTCACCTTCTACCTTTAGGTCAGCTCAACTCCAAAGGCCAAAGTCCCAAAGACCCTCTCATTCACACTCGATTTGAAAATTCCTTTCCAAAGTAATTTTCTTCCACTTGCTGTTCTTTGAGTGCAAACTACAGTTTCGAATACAACCCCACACTTCAGCGATCCCACGTTCAGAAACGTGCATGAACCTCACAGACACGCTGTTGCATGAGTTCATTCAAGTGAAGTTCACAAATAAGCAACATCAATGTCAGTACTAGAGGGTAGGGTGAGCACCCTCATGGGAGCACAGTGACTAGAAGTGGACTAAAAGGGCACATCTGGGGCGCTGGCGGTGTTCTGGTTCCTAGTCCAGGTGCTTGCCACCCTCACGTGTTCACTTTCTGAAAATTCTTTGGGCTGACCCCTCAGGATGTGTGCGCTTCTCTCTATGAACGTTGTGCTCAATTAAAAGGCTTATTTAAAGAAAAATACAGTGAATCAAAAGCACCTTGAAACCTAAGCAAAGTTTTTGAAGATCATTCCCAAAGAGATTCATCGAGGGAGGGAGTGAGGAAAAGAGATGAATGAATGCAAATGATGATGCTGCTGAAGCTGCTGGTAGTCAGATGGCTGGGGAGGGTGACAGTACAGGTTCTCCATGGCACGCAGTCCCAACTCAGCTTTCTCATTTTCCAGCAGTGCTCACGCTTCTGTCATCTGCAGCTTCCTTCCACGGTGGCATCCTTAATGCCCTTCTGTGGTGCCCCTTTAGCAAATGCTCAAAGGGAATGTTGAAAATCAGGTCAGCTGTTTCCAAAGACACCCAGTGGCTTTTTTCCTGGCCTCTGAGCTCTGCTTAGCTGCAAGAAGAGACGCAAAGGGGCGGCACCAGCCCCACAGACGCAAGGATTGCTTGGGATAGCCCAGGGCTTCCACTCTCCACTAGGGCTGTGAATCTCTCACTGGGCTGCTGGTGAGGCAGCTCCACATGACTCAGGAAGACACTCTTGGGCTGCCCAAAGCATTTTAGGGGGCCTACCCAGCCTACAACAGGTGCAGCTGCCGGGCGACCCAGCCTGGCAGTCCTCAGGGCCAGGCCCTATGTTGTCTCCAGACACAAGGAGACATTTGAGACTACCAGGGTAACTAACTGACGCTCAGCTGAAGGAAGCTGACAGCATTGCCAGCCAGAGTCTTTATGGACCCATCGGTCACCATCTCTTGGATTGGTTTGCCATGTATACGGGCTTGTGTGCAAACACACACACCTATTCACCTGGTTCCCATGGGGATTTAGTGTAAAGTTCTGTGGATTCTTTCTCCCACTTACAAAGCAGCCTGTGTGCAGACGAGTGGACCTGGAGATCTGATGATTTACACTGGGACCAGCCCAGGGGAGGGAAAGCGGATCCAGGGACCCAGCTGCCCCTGAAAGAAAGGCTGTGTTTGCAGTGCTCGGGGAACATGTATGCATCTTTGTTTTGGGGACAAGGAAGGGAAGGTGACTTGCAAGGAGCCCTGTTGCCTAAGGCTTAGGGAGAAAACTGAGATTCGTTTTTCTGTTTCCAAGGAAAGAAAAAAATCCATCAAGCAAATGATTCAAGGTTCACCTCCCACATGCTCTCTGGATAAATTGCAGGATGGTGGTTTATATGCAGTATTGGGCCTCGCTCCTGAGCCACATTGAGCTACATATTAAGCACCACTACTTCAGTGGGATCAAACAGTCCTGTAAATAACAACCTCATAGCCAGTTACTGACATCAACTCCATCCACAGGCTTTGGGAAATTACCTCCAGCCACATCAGCGTATTTCTTTTTAATATCTCAGAAAAAGGTATGAAATTGCTCATTCCCAGCTCATATTACATTGACCAGTAATAGAAAGATACTGCTTTGCTCTGCATGTGGCAGAATGTGGTCCCCTCTGGCCCTGCCCAGCCAGCTCTGTGCCCCCGACCACCAACCCTGAGTGCAGAGCCCGTCTCTAGCCTGTGAAGTCTGTCTTTTTTTGGAGCCTGTAGCTTTTTGAGAGAATGACCAGGGGGCACTTGCTTTGAGTTGTGGGAGTTTTCTCCTTTGTTTGAAGGAAGGGTCCTACTGTTTTCTCTGAGGCCTGCTGCTGCCTTGGAGATAGGCTTCTTGCTTCTTAACAGCTAAGCAGTTGGAGAAAAACCAACGATTTCTTCCTTTCGCAGCAGTGTGTCTTCTCTGGGAAATTCAAAGCATAACTCTTGACAACAGTCCTGGATACCTGGTGCCCTGCACCCCCCTCCGTGGTCGTGCAGACACTGAATCCTCCCTGAAGCACAACAATCCTGCCCTAACTCCCTTCCACCCACCACCACAGGTGGCCAACTACTTTAAAAGTCCATAGCTCAACCATTTTTACAAAAACTACAGCTATTTGGAATTTCTGTGTTTAACCCGCATGAATTTGATATGTCTTCTCCAGACAAGGGAACTCTTTTCTCCTTCAGTGTGTGTGTGATAGGAATGACCTGAGACATAGAGTCAGAAGCCCTAGGTCCCAGCTCTGGCCCCACTGTGAACAAGCTGATTTCTCTGAACCATTGTCTCCATATCTGTAAAACGTGCATCCCCAAAAATGCCTAATTCAGAGAGGGCAATGAATAAAAAATATACTTGAAAAGTATGGGAGAATGCACCTTATAAATTCTAAAACCAAAATATGATATTACCAAACCATGAAACTTGGCCAGAAAGATGTAATCTGTTCTTATGATGAATTTAACAAATGGATTGCTGTGATTTTTATGGACCCGTTAATATGGTTTCCACAAATAATGAATAGCCAGTAGAAATTGATACACAAAGGATTCAAAATTATTGATTGGCTGTGCAGTGAGCCAGGGAAAGAAAGTGGCAGAATTTTTCTTGATTTATAAAGAAAAAATGAGGGAAGAAGAAAAGATGGGTGAGCTTAAGACAAACATAAGAACCTAACAGAAAGAATATGCACAACTTGGACTACAACAAATAGCTGGGAAATGAGTGACAGGAAGCAAGCTCACCGGCTACATTCTTATCTGGGTCACAATGGAAAGGATATGTCTTCTGCATCTTCACTCTCCCTCTCTGTCTCTGACTCCTATTGTCCACTAGGAAAACAAGCGCTGGAAGTCAAGAACTTTCTCAACACTGGAGCCCAGTGCCCAAATCCATGGCTGGCAGGAGCTGGACTTCAGTGGCCAGTGGCTGAAAGACCTGCAGGCCACTCTTGAGAAAGGGCATGAAGTGGCCTCAGACACCTCCAGTATCTCCTGTTCATGGGGGTCCCTGCTCTCCCAAATGGTTCAGATGCTTCAAAGTTTAACCAGTAGACATAAGAGGAATGTTCTGGAAGCCATTCAGCACTGTCCACAATGTCGCAGGATGAGCAGATCTGTCTGCTAGTAGAAGGAAATGCCGTTAGAGTTTGCTGACCTGAACCCAGATACCAAGTCAACCCAGGTCTTATCCCATCAAGTTGACATCCGCTCTACACAGATCAATGTTTGCAAGAATCATCTCTCTCTGCTCTCTCTCTTCTTCCTTCCTCCACATTACTTGCAGTCTTTTCTAGCCATCAGTTCTCCTGGAGGGTCCTGGCTCCACCTGGAGATCTACAGCAAAGTCCTAGAGGTCCTGCTGAATTTGCTTTTCCCTTTCTCTCCTTGTGGCAGAGCAGCGGCAGGAGAGCTAGGGATGTTCTCCTGCTATGCTGATGCTACTCACAGCAAAACTCCTTCGGTGTTATGCTAACAAGTTTCTGTCTCAACTCCATCTTTCCGCACACTCCTCTCCCTGCTAGGTGCAAGGAGGGGGAAAGAAAACAATCTCTCCCTATGCACTTTAAACATTCCCTGTGATGTGTCACCAGACTTTATCGCCTTTCAGGCACTAGTGAGTCACTTTTTGAGGCAGGGCCCCCGCTCTAATGTCCACAGAATCCCGAAGCAGAGATGCTGCCAAATTCACCCCCACTGGTGGCTCACTGCCAAGGAGAAACAGGAGCTGTCTTTTTTCAGAGGTCTTTAAAAATAGTGTAGGAGGCCAGGGGTACATTAAGTGACCTCTGGAGGTCCAGTCTGGGCTCAGGAAGTTCTGACAAATTCAAAAATGTAGGTTTTAAGAGACTTGGGGGGCTTTACACAACGAGGCCCTTTTTAGCATTTGCTGCTGCAGGCTGATGGGCTGAATTAATCACTGTTCCTCTAATCAACTAAGGAAAATGGTCTTTCCTTCAAAAACAGCTGTCAGCAATGACTATAAATTGGTTCATTTTATGCAGAAAGATGCCCTGTGATAGGCTGTCAGCCAAATGAATGCTGACTTCAATGTGACTTGAAACAGAATGTTGGAAGTGGCAATATATGAATGGAACAAAACAGGACAATGAAGCAGCATCTCCATAGTCACAGCGAGGCATCATGAAGGATATACAGGGAGTACATTTTGAGACTGACAAGCAAAAATCATAATCTTAACAATGTTGCCTAATGTTTAGTGAGCACTTATTATGTCCTAGACTCTACACTAAATATGTCATTTGTCTTATTCCACCTACCATTAAAATATTTCCGAGCAGGAGTGTTTCTATTGAGACCTGCCAGAACATTGTCAAAATCATAGGCCCAAAGAGCCTAGCTTGAAAGCATGCTGTACTCTAGCAGAGGGGCCTGGAAATGCACAAATCACAGAGACAAACACAAATCAGAGCGGCAGAAGCCACCTTGGTCTGAAGCTGGACTTAGGAGAAAAGGCTCTCCACTTGCTATAATAGGTCTTTAGACAATTTCACACCCTCCAGGTCTCTGGCAGAGCTTAGAGGCTAAAATTTTGTTTAAAAACAAACAAAAGCAGTTTGCCTTAAGTGGGCAAATGGAAAGGGAGATTTTTTACTTGCAAATAAGGAAATGATATTTAGTAATTTTCTAAGCATCTGTCTGTCCTATGTTTTGCTTTAGGGACCTATAACATTCCTCAGTGCTTGCCAATCTCTAGTTTGGAAGCCAAAAGACACTACCTCATAGGCAGTGAGTCAGCAAATGAGAGTGGGTGGGAAGCCAAGGGAGTAAGAATAGGTGGAAAGGGCTGGACAGACTCCAAATCCAAGCTCTGTCACTGACGAGCTTCAGGACTTCGGAAAAATTACACTAACTCCTTTAGCCTACCTCCTAATCTGTAAAACAGACATAACGAATGCTACCTTGCAGAGTCGCTGTGTTCATGAGATAATGAACATACATTATTCATTGCCCATGGATGTGCCTGCTACATAGTCAAGATTAACTCATGGTAACTATTATTTAAAAGGACCACTGGATCCAACTCCAAGATTTACTATAAAGCTATGGTAATGAAGGCAGTGTGGTATTGGTGAAAGAACAGAGAAAAAGATCAATGGAACAAAATAGAAAACCTGGAAATAGACTTACATAAATATAGTCAGCTGATCTTCAATAAAGGAACAAAGACATTTCAATGGAACAAAGGTCATCTTTTCAACTAATAGAGCTGGAACAACTTGTCCACAAAAGAGTCAAACTCTGTAAATATTTGAGGAGATTTGTTCTGAGCCAAATATGAGTGACTAATGGCTCATGGCATAGCCCTCAGGAGATCCTGAGAACACGTGCCCAAGGTGGGGTCAGGGTACAGCTTGGTTTTATACATTTTATTTTATTTTGTTTTTTTATTTAATAAAGTTTTATTTTTCCAAATGTACAATTGGTTGAACCTGTTCATGCATCTTCACCAGCAGCTGGAGCATCCCCGCCCTTGGTATTTCTGGTGTAAATTACTTGAACTCTGTGCTTTGAAACAGTTTGTTAAGTCCTTTACTAAGGAGCTCCTGAAGGGCTGCTCTGGCCAGGGAACCTCGAATCTTTAGTCTCTTAGAGACCACAGCTGGAGCTCTAAGTTTATAGTTGGGAACTTCCTTACAGAGTTTGTCATAAGTAGCTTTGTCAAACAAGACTAAGTTATTGAGCTTGTCCCGAACTTTGCCTTTGGATCACTTCTTCATTTTGGCTTTGCCCCAGGATTTGTTCACTGGGTCTTTGTCTTTCTTGCCCAACTTTTTGGCATCTTTCTTCTTCTTGTTGTCCTTGGGTGCCCTTGTGAAGCTCAGAGAGCAGCGGAGAACCGATTTTACACATTTTATGAGACAAGAGACATCAATCAAATACATATAACACGTACATTGATTCAGTCCAGAAAGACAGGACAACGGGAAGCTGAAGGGCTTCCAGGTCACAGGTAGATTCAAAGATTTTCTGATTGGCAATTGGTTGAGAGAGTCAAGTTATTGTCTGAAGACTTAGGAATGTCTGGGTTAAGATAAGTGGTTGTGGAAACCAAGGTTTTATCACACAGATGAAGCCTCCTGGTAGAAGGCTTCAGAGAGAATAGATTGTATTTCTCATCAGACTTAAAGAATCTGTTCTATTAGTAATTTCAAAAGGGAGGAGGATGTAATGAGGCATGTCTGACCTCCGCTTCCCATCATGACTTGAACTCGCTTTTCAGGTTACCTTTCGAACGCCCTTGCTAAGAGGAGGGTTCCATTCAGATGGTTTGGGGGCTTAGAATTTTGTTTTCGGTTTATAAACCGGGTGTTCAAATGCATATATATCCCCATAACTATATATATATATATATATATATATATATATATATATATATATATATATATAACTATATATATAACTTTATATATAGTCTTTGCACCCTTCACAAAAACTAACTCCAAATAGATCAGAGACCTAATAGTAAAATGAAAAACTATAAAACTCCTAAAAAGTAACATCAGAGAGAATACAGATTACCATGATTCCTTCAATGACTTCTTAGATACAACACCAAAAGCACAATCCATGAAAGAAAACATTGATAAGCTGTACTTCATTAAAATTAAAACACCAAAAGCACAAGCCATGAAAGAAAACATTGATAAGTTGTACTTCATTAAAATTAAAACTTCAGTCTGTGACAGCCAGTTAAGAAAATGCAAAAACCAGCAATAGAGTGTGCAGTCAATTCCTTTCATTTGATGTTACCTCAATTTCCGTTTTCATTCTCATACAAGAAGCAGGGCTCAACCACCTTTGATGTGGTTTCCAGTTCTCCACCTCCTCCCAGTTCCTCAAGGTGCTTGATCCAAATATCTGCCCCATACAACCACCTCCTGGTGACCACCTCTCTATGGGACAGCTAGATACAACTTGCTTGAAGCACTCCACTGACCCCCACATTCTGCATGGACAACACAGATATTCCACAGTGACCACCTCTCAGTCACAGCAGAACTCAGAATTCATGCCTGCTTGCTGTGAAGCCACTAATTTGAACTCCCCACGAGAAACCTGCCCGTTTCACATCTTAGACTTGAATAAAGCCTGGCCCGCCAGTCCCTCCCCACGCCTCTCTTGCTCGCCACATGCTGGTTGAGTGTGTGTGTCCAGGATGGCTTCCCCCTTTCCCTTGGCCCTGTGAGGCATGCTGCCCTGTTCTCTCTGGGACCTGTAAGTAATACACGGCTCCTGGTATTCCGTGTGTTTTATTGGGTTGCCTCCTCTGGGTCTCACCTGATTAACACGCCCAAACCTAACTTCTTTCCTAGTTAGGGCTCTCCTAGACAGTGGCTATGTTCATAGGAATAAACTAGACACAGTTCAGACCAGAGTCCCAAGGGAGTCTGCCAGTATAAACAGGTTTGTTGTGTGAGAAGGATACCTCCTCACAGATCAGACACTTTGGCATTAGGCCATCTGCCAGGATAAAGAAGTACCCCCCAAAAGGCACATTGCAAACATCCACAACCAAACCTGCTGGAGCTCCAGTAGGGTGAGGCTAGAGTTTATAGCCACTCTGCAGAGAGAGTCCTCAAGACCAAATTAGAAAAAAGTACATATTTTTTTCTGGAGAAAAATTTGCAAAACACGTATCTGATAAAGGACTGTTATCCAAAATATGCAAAACAAACATAAAAATAATTAAGACTCAACAATAAGAAAACAATTAACCCAGTTATAAAATCGGGAACAAATCTGAACATATTTCTCACCAAAAAAGATATAGAGATGGAAAATAATCATATGAAAAGATGCTCAGCATCATCTGTCATTAGCAACTGGAAACTAAAACAATGAGATACTGCTATGCACCTATTAGAATAGCTAAAATGCAAACTCTAACAACACCAAATGCTGGAGAGGATGTGACACAACAGGAACTTTCAATCATTGCTGGTGAGAATGCAAAACAGTACAATCACTTAGAAGGCCGTTTGGCAGGTTCCTATAAAACTAAACATTCATACAAGCAGCCATGTTCTTTGATACTTACTCAGTGAAGTTGAAAATTTAGGTCCACTTAAAAACCTGCACATGGATGTTTATAGCAGCTTTATTTATAATTGCCAAAACTTGGAGGCAACCAAAACATTCTTTAGTAGGTGAGTTAATAAATAAACTGTGGTACTTCCAGACAATGAAATATTATCCATTGCTAAAAGAAGTGAGCTGTCAAACCATTATTGGGAACAGGCCCCCCAAAATCTGGCCATAAACTGGCCCCAAAACTTGCCATAAAGAAAATCTCTGCAGCACTGTGACATGTTCATGATGGTCATGACACCCACGCTGGAAGGTTGTGGGTTTACCAGAATGAGGGCAAGGAACACCTGGCCCACCCAGGGCGGAAAACCGCTTAAAAGCATTCTTAAAACACCAACAATAGCATGAGTGATCTGTGCCTTAAGGACATGCTCCTGCTGCAGATAACTAGCCAAACCTAACCCTTCATTTTGGCCCATCCCTTCATTTCCCATAAGGAATACTTTTAGTTAATCTATAATCTATACAAACAATGCTTACCACTGGCTTGCTGTCAGTAAATACGTGGGTAAATCTCTATTCAGAGCTCTCAGCTCTGAAGGCTGTGAGACCCCTGATTTCCCACTCCACACCTCAATATTTCTGTGTGTGTGTCTTTAATTCCTCTAGCACCACTGGGTTAGGGTCTCCCCAGACTGAGCTGGTCTTGGCAACCATGAAAAGACATGGTGGAAACTTAAATGCATATTAGAAGTGAGATAAGCAAATTTGAAAAGGCTATATCCTGTACAATTTCTGCTACAGGAGATTTCTGTGAGAGGCAAAACTATGGACACAGTAAAATAATCAGTGGTTGCCCAGGGTTAGAGGACAGGGAAGACACAGAGGATTTTTAGGTAAGTGAAACTAATCTGTATGATACCATAATGGTGGATACATCTGTGACATAAGAAAAAATATATACAATCATACATCACTGAATGACAGGGATAGCTTCTAAGAAATGTGTTGTTAGGCAATTTCATTGTTCAAACATCATAGAATGTATACACACAAACCTAGATGGTATAGCCCACTACACATCTAGGCTATGTGATTGAAAAGAGTCAAATTGTGTAAAATATTTGAAGAGATTTATTCTGAGCCAAATGTGAGTGACCATGGCCCGTGACACAGCCCCAGAAGATCCTGAGAACATGTGCCCATACCATCAGGCTACAGCTTGGTTTTATACATTTCATAATGAGACATGAAACATCAACCAATACCTGTGAGTTATACATTTTTTTGGTCTGGAAAGGTGGAACAACTCAAAGGTGGAGGACAACTTGAAAGTAGGTGGGCTTTCAGGTCATAGCTGGATTCAAAAATTTTCTAAAATTTATCTAAAGACGTGGAATCAACAGAAGGGAGTATCTGGGATAAGATAAGGGGTTGTGGAGACCAAGGTTCTTATTATGCAGATGAAGCCTCCAGACCTCCAGGTAGCAGGTTTCAGAGAGAATAGATTGCAAATGTTTTTTATCAGACGTAAAAAGATACTAGACTCGCCAGGCACAGTGGCTCACGCCTGTAATCCCAACACTTTGGGAGGCTGAGGTGGGCAGATCACCTGAGGTCAGGAGTTCAAGACCAGCCTGACCAACATGGTGAAACCCCATCTCTACTAAAAATACAAAATTAGCTGGGTATGGTGGTGCCTGCCTGTAATCCCAGCCACTCGGGAGGCTGAGGCAGGAGAATCACTTGAACCCAGGAGGCAGAGATTGCAGTGAGCCGAGATCGCACCATTGCACTCCAGCCCGGGCAACAAGAGCGAAACTCCACCTCAGAAAAAAAAAAGGTACCAGAGTCTTAGTTAATTCTCTCCTAGATCAGGAAAAGACCTGGAAATGGAGGAGGATTCTTTACAGAATATAGATTTCCCCTACAAGAGACAACTTTTCAGGGCCATTTCAAAATATGTCAAAGAAATATATTTTGGGGTAAAATACTTTGATTTCTTTCAGGGTCTGCTATCTGTCATGTTGGTATCTTATTGCTACAGAGTCTGTTGTGTCATTTGCAAAGTCTCTATTTTAATGTTAATGCTGGCCAGCTGCACCTGAATCCCAAAGGGAGAAAGGTGTAATGAGGCGTGTCCGACTCCCGCTTCCCATCATGGCCTGAACTAGTGTTTCAGATTTACTTTAGAATGCCCTTGGCCAGGAGGAGGAGTCCATTCCATTGGCTGGGGTTGCTTAGAATTTGACTTTTGGTTTACAGCTACATGGTAGAGCCTATTGCTCCTAGGCTACAAACCTGTATGTTAGAGGTGGCGAATATCTGATTTACCGGTGGCAAATCCATATGGAGCAACCTCAATTCTTGCCTCCTCAGAAGAAAGAATTCAATTGAGGGGTATAAGGCAGAAAAAGAGACCGAGGCAAGTTTCAGAGCAGGAGTGGAAGTTTATTAAGAAGCTGTAGAGTAGCAAAGAAAGGAAAGTACCGTTGGAAGAGATCCAAGTGGACACTTTGAAGGTCAAGTGTGGCATTTGACTTTTTGACTCGGGGTTTTATATGTTGGCATATTTCCAGGGTCTTGCATCCCTTTTCCATGGTTCCTCCCTTAGGGTGGGCTGCCTGCACGTGTGGTGGCCTGTTAATACTTGGGAGGTGAGCATGCGCAGTGTGTTTACTGGAGTTGTATGCATGCTTGCCTGAGGCTTCCTTCCCTTCCCTGGCGGAATGTCCCAGGAAGGTCCTTCTTCGCCATTTTGTTTCTTAATGTGCATGCCTGAGCCTACTCACCGAATTCCTGAGCTGCCAATTACCAATTTCAAGTATTTTTTATATATTGTGAAATTGCCTCTCCCTGGGCCTGTGACCAATTATCGCTCTAGTGTGACAGTTGTGGGCCATCAGGAAATTGCCTCTCCCTGGCTCCAGCTGCCAATTATTATTTTTAGAGAGGCACTGTGACAACTGCCTGACTATCACCTGATGATCACTTGACATTCCTGGTAGGTGGGGGGAGGGAGCCCTCTCCTGCCCCACTCATGCCTGGCTAGCTACCTACTATCACATGTGCAGCATGTTACTGTGCTGAATACTATAGTCAATTATAACACAATGGCGAGTATTTGCATATCCAAACATAGAAAAGGTAATGGGTTGGTCTTGGATGTTTCAACACCTACAACATCACTAGATGACAGAAAACTTTCAGCTCCATTACAATCTTATGGTATTGTTGCAGGACTTTTTCTTAGTTCAGCTAAAGACAGGGTTCTTTGTCCCATGGCCATAAAAATTCAGGCTTGCAAACAATTTGAATGGTGAGTAAGACAGGGTTTTATTGGATGAAAAGGAAGGAAAGGGGGAAACAGGGACTCTCGCTAGGCCAGAATCCCTGCTAGTGCACTTCCCGCATGCAGCTTGAATCCCTGAATCCCAGGTTCCACACAGGAAGAGGAGGGGCCAGGCTCCTCCCCGCTGCAAAGTGGGCAGGCTGATTGGAGTTTCTCCCGGGACCCCCTCCCACCTGGCTGTCTCAGGATCACTATGGTATATGTGGTCCGTCATTGAACTAAACATCCTTTTCTTTTGAGACAGTGTCTTGCTCTGTTGCCCAGGCTGGAGTGTAGTGGTGCAATCTTGGCTCACTGCAACCTCTGCCTTTGGCGTTCAAGTGATCCTCCTACCTCAGTCTCCTGCGTAGCTGAGACTACAGGCGCTCACTACCACACCCAACTAATTTTGTATTTTTTGTAGAGATAAGGTTTCACCGTGTTGCCTAGGATGATCTTGAACTCCTGGCCTCAAGCAATTCACCCACTTCGGCCTCCCAAAATGTTGGGATTACAGATATGAGCCACTATGCCCAGCCTTGACCTAAACATCCTCTGCACTGAACGACTATATTTACTCTCTGCCCCCATTTCCTGGCACACAACTCCTAAACCCTTGGAATCCCAGAGTGATCAAGGTCTTTTGTATACTAATGAAGTGACTGGTGGCTGGGGGCTCCTGGATAGCCTCAGGATGGGGGCAGGTCTCCAGGGGAACCAGCCAGGCGATGAGAGGTTTGTAATTTTTAGCCCACTGACCAGTCCTGGGGGTAGAGAGGGGCTGAGAGTTGAGTCCATCGCCAACGGCCAATGACTTGATCATGTGTGTGTGTGTGTGGATGCCTTCATCAAAAATCAAAAGGACGGGGTTCTGAGAGCTTTCAGTGGGTGAACATGTGGAGGGGGCTCACCTGAAGAAGGTGTGGAAGCTCCTTGACCCTTTCCCCATGTGCTGCTGTGTGCATCTCCATCTGGCTGTTGTATCCTTTTATAGTAAACAGGTACTCTAGTAGTTCTGTGAGCTGCTCTAGCAAATTTTCAAACTTGAGGAGGGGATAGAGGCCGTTTCTGATTTACAGGCAGAAGCTTGGAAGCACAGGTGACAGTCTGGACTTGCCTCTGGCAACTGAAGTAGGGGAGCATTCCTGTGGGACTGAGCACTTAACCTGTGGGGTCCGCACCAACTCTAAGTAGACAGTATCTGAAGTCAATTGAGTTGTAGGACATTCCAAAAAACCCACACATTTGATGGCCAGAAGTATTCTGTGAGTGTAGATAGAAAAATACAATTTTTCCTTACAATGTGTCATTATAAATTTGTCCAAACCCATAGAAAGTACCACATACAGCGTGAACCCTAACATGAACTATGGACTTGGGGGGACGATGATGATGATGATGTGGTAATGGAGGGCCATCAGTTGTAGCAAACGCATCACATAGTGCAAAGCGTTGATGGTGGGGGAGGGTGTGCCTGTGTGGAGGCTGTAGGTGTACGGCCTGTCTCCATTGCCTCCTCTCCATCTTGCTGTGAACTGAAAACTTTTCTTTTCTTTTCTTTTCTTTTTTTTGGAAACAGGGTCTCACTCTGTCGCCCAGGCTGGAGTGCAGTGGCACCATCTTAGCTCACTGTAACCTCCGCCTCCCGGGTTCAAGCGATTCTCCTGCCTCAGCCTCCTGAGTAGCTGGGATTACAGGCATGCGCCACCATGCCCACCTCATTTTTGTATTTTTAGTAGAGATAGGGTTTCACCATGTTGCCCAGGCTGGTCTCAAACTCCTGGCCTCAAGTGATCCACCTGCCTCGGCCTCCCAAAGTGCTGGGATTACAGCCATGAGCCACTGTGCCTGCCCCCGAAAACTTTTCTAAAAAATAAAGAAGAAAAAAGAAAAAGAGAATCAGCAGGTTCCCACAGCTTGGGTGAGGGAGCACCTGCTTTACAAAGGCTTCCCCGCTCTACAGCCAGGCAGCCTCCTTCCCCATCAAAAGCACCCCATGATGCCCAAGGGAAGGTCAGTGAAGCTGGGGGTGGGGGGGCAGCAGAGGATGGGCCCAAGGGGAGTGGGACAAGGCTGTCAGCCACACCTATTCCTGCAAAAGTGCAAGTTAAGCCACAAAAGGCTGCCAGAAAGGATAACTCTTCAGACAAAAAATGCAGGAACAAAAGGCAAAATGGAAGCAAAAGAACAAAGTGGCCAACCAAGAAACTGAAGAAGACTCACCTACAAACACAGAGAAACTGAAAACCAGTAGAGTCCAGCCTCTGAAGAAAGAGAGAAGGAAGCCAAATCTGATTAACGTCCCGTACTAAGTCTCATCTGTTGACTTCAGTCTGCCATATTTTTGAATCTAGAGAAATCGGTTTCCAGCTATTGTATAAATGTTAGCTTCTAGAATTCTAGAAATATATTTTTTAAGAAAGAAGGAATTATACATCATCTTTTTAAAAAACATTTGTAAATAAGTGGAAATGTCCATTTTTTGAAGATGTAAAATTAAGCGCTGGTTGTTTTTCTGCAACAACCAGAAAATAGTGGGATGTTGAAATAAGGGAGGTGTTGAATGTTTGGATGTTAAATTAGTAATTCCATAAGTTGGTGTGAGGAGAGTTTTTGTATCCTATAATACAAAAAAGAAATGGCAATTTTGAGTCACAATCATGAATTTAAATGTTCAAACATTTTAAATTCCTTAACTTCTCTTTCCACGTTGGTTGTTCGTGGAGCAGAAAACTGCGCCCTGATCTTGGCTTCCCTGGCAGAACTGGGTGCTCTCTGTGACATATTTGGTTGTGGTAGTCCAGTTTGTCCTAATAATTTTGCTAATGTGCTGTGAAGAATTGAGATTTTTTTTGTTTTTGTCTTTGTTTTTGTTTTTTTGAGATGGAGTCTTGCTCTTGTTGCCCAAGCTGGAGTGCAATGGCACCATCTCAGCTCGTCGCAACCTCTGCCTCCCAGATTCAAGCGATTCTGCTGCCTCAGCATCCTGAGTAGCTGGGATTACAGGCATGCACCACCATGCCTGGCTAATTTTGTATTTTGTTAGTAGAGATGGGGTTTCTCCATGTTGTTCAAGCTCATCTTGAACTCCCAACCTCAGATGATCCACCTGCCTCGGCCTCCTAAAGTGCTAGGATTACAGGTGTGAGCCAGCGCGCCCAGCCGGATTGAGAGTTTTGAGCATATAGTGTACATGGTGCTAAGTTGTAAATTAGTGTGATTTACCATCTAAGAGCTTATCACTAGCAGAAGATATGTGTTGTTGTTAACATCCTCATAAGGACAAATTGCCTTTAGAATTTAAGCTAGAAAGTCCCTGGAATAACTGCAGAAAAGATTATAGCTACAAGGCTTTCTAGAATTTCAGTATTTATATTAATAATTGTGTGCAGATTGTTCATAATGTCTGAGTACTGATGCTCAAAAAAAAAAACTAATAAAATCTCAATTATGAAAAGGAAATTTTAAATTGCATCAAAAATATAAAACCAGGTGTGAGGAGGGGTGTCTCACACCTGTAATCCCAGCACTTTGGGAGGCCTAGGTGAGTGGATCACTTGAGGTCAGGAGTTTGAGACCAGCCTTGCCAACATGGTGAAAACCCATCTCTTCTAAAAATACAAAAATTAGCTGGGCATGGTGGCATGCACATGTAATCCCAGCTACTTGGGAGGCTTAGGCACAAGAATTGCTTGAGGCCGGGAGGCAGAGGTTGCAGTGAGCCGAGGTTGTGCCACTGCACTCCAGCCTGGGTGACAGATCGAGACTCTGTCTCTAAATAAATAAATAAATAACAAATGAAATAAAACCGGGAAATATTAAATAAAATGTGTGCAAGACTTGTATACTAAAAACTACAAGAAAATCCTGAAAGAAATTTCAGAAGACTTAAGTAATTGAAGATATATCATATTCTTGAATTAAGACTTAATATTAAAATGTTAATTCCCTCACAAATGGCCTCTCAAAAGGTTCAGTGCACTCTAAACCAAAATCCCAGCAGGTGTTTAAATAGAAATGTATAAGCCGATTCTAAAATTTTTATGGAAATGCAAAGGACCAAGAATAGCAAAAGCAATTTTGAAAAAGAAAGTTGAAGGACTTATCCTACCTGATTTCAAAACTTCAAGATAGTGTGGATAGAAATGCCAATCTCCATTGTGTCTAAATATAGAGTCCAGAAATAGAATCTCATATATATAGTCAATTTATTTTTTACAAAGGTACTTGGTCAAATAATTCAATGAGGAGAGGATAGACTTTGCAACAAATAGTGCCAAAAACAAATAAACAAAAGCCTTGACTTTCATGTCATATACAAATAATAACTCAGAATGCATCATAGACCTAAAGGTAAGAGCTAAAACTATAAAACTTCTGCAAGAGAACATAGAAGAAAGTCTTTGTGGCCTCATTGAATTAGGCAAAGATTTCTTAGTGCATAAAAAGCACACGCCATTAAATTAGAAAAAATTAAGTAGATTTCAAAAAAATTAAAAACTTTTGCTCTTCAAAAAAATACCATTTAGAAAATGAAAAGACAAGGCACAGACTAGGAGAAAATATAGCCAATTCTCATTATGGTCTATAAAGTCATTGTTATGGTCTGTAAAGTCATTGCAAACACTGAACTAGCAAATAATAAAATATTGCTCCCAAGAGAAATACAGGGTTAGGTTCCTTCGAGTCTCTGGTTACATTAACGTTAACTGATCAACATAACCTTGTTTGTGTGTTTCTGTTTCGTGAAACAGAACATACCTTGCTTAACGTATATGGTTGATTCATTAACATTGCACTCACAGCCAATAGCCCTGTAACTCACGCCCACACAAATCTTATCTACCACACAATATTTTCTCCATAAGGCACATCACAGCCTCTTGCACTTAGGGACACTAGAAAGCACTTCAGGGCCATGGCTCGTGCCTGTAATCCCAGCACTTTGGGAGGCCAAGGCAGGCAAATCACCTGAGGTCAGGAGTTCGAGACCAGCCTGGCCGACATAGTGAAAACCCGTCTCCACTAAAAATACAAAAATTAACCGGGCATGGTGGCACGCACCTGTAGTCCCCACTACTCAGGAGGCTGAAAGAGGAGAGTTGCTTGAACTTGGGAGGCACAGGTTGCAGTGAGCCGAGATCATGCCACTGCACTCCAGCCTGGGTGACAGAGGAAGACTCCGTCTCAAAACAAAACAAAACAAAACCCCCCAAAAAACAGAAAGCACTTCAACAGTTTACATAGGAACCGCTTGAGATAGAAAATTACCAACAAAAAGCACACATATATGGAAAACGAGTCACTGAATAGACAGTGGAAAGGACGCTTGCTTTACACTATGAGCACTGGAACAGCAAGTCAGAGCATCACCTTGTTCAGCCTCAGCTAAGAGCACCAACGTCGAGAAACTCATGTTTTTAGCCACTCTGTGTATGTGTGTAAATGACCACGAAAAAACCGTGAGCATTGACTTGGGGCTTACAAGCACATTTTATCAAAGAGGCAAATTCGCAAATACAGGATCTGAGAATAACGAGGACAGCTGTGAGGCTGGAGAAGCAGATGGGGCTGCTCTGGGTGACAGGCTGGCTCTTGTCCCAGAAGCTGTGGACTGCCACTGGAGTGTTTCAAGCAAGGGAGTGGCTTGATCTGTGTTGTAGGAACAGCACCTTTTCTCAACTTAAAAGTGTGGCTTGAAGAGAGGAAGACGGGAGACTGATTAGGAGATGGATGTATCCAGGCGAGGATGAGGGTGGGTGAATGGAGCCAGGGGTAGAGGTCCTCAGGGGAGCTGACCTGAGACCCCTGTGAGTCTCGGGTCCTGGCAATGGGGCGGCGGTGAGTGGTGAGGGGGAGGCATTGAGGACAGCGCCCGGGGTCCCCGGCTGGGGCACATACGTGTAGGGCAGTGGTCAAGGGCCCTAGCCTTGCAGTCAGACACCCCTGGCGGGCTGTGTGGCTTAGACATGCTCCTCCACTTCCCTAAGCCTAGTTGTTTCATGTCTAGCATAAAGATTCCGTGTGGCAGGAAGAACACACCCCCGGGAGTGATTCTGAGATTGAAATGAGTGCTGGTGCTTTTCACCTAAACAAGGAAAACAGGGAGAGAAGCAGTATGTGGGGTGGGAGGGAGAAGGAGAGGAGTCTGTCTGGGCGTGGGGAGTTGGACGTGCCTCTGGACACCCATGGACAAATATCCTGAGGCCATCTGATGTTTTCCGGGGGCCACGGGAGTCGGGGAGGGGAAGGTGGGGTGGAGACACAGACTTGGGCATTACCAGCAGGCAGGGGGCTGCTACCGCCATGAAGAGTGGGCAGTGCCAGGATCAGAGGGCCGGGGTAAAGCCTGCATTGTTCCCACATTTCAGAAGAGGCTGGGAAGGAGGTCAAGCAAGAGCAGCAGGAGGAGGAGAAAGCAGGAGGATGTGGAGGGACGGCAGGCGGGGAGGAGGAATTCCAGGAGGGAGTGGCTGGGGTGACTGTTCTGAAAGCATGGACTGGAAGCCACAGCACATTTGGGCTGCAAGGAACCCGAGAGATCTTCTAGTCTAATCCTCTTTTAGTCTCCATCCCCGTCCGGATGAAGACATCGAGATTCAAAAGCAAAGTCAGTTGTACTGTGACTTCATAGCAGGATACCCTAACTCCTAATTCATAATAAAACTACAGACATTCTCAATTCAAACTTCTTCCTATTCAGTCATACTGGACTTTCTCCTAGTTTGACAGAATGGTTGAGATGTTATTGACTTTTTGGAACTGCTAACCTTCCACAGTGTAGTCAAGCTGTGCTTCTTAAATATATTTTTATTCCACATTTAACAAATTTTGCTCTAAATAATAACTCCAAAAACAAAAGAAGTCAAAACTCACTAAAGTATACTTTTAATTTTAATATATATAAAGTACACTTCAATAGAACTGAGTTTTAAAAACAGTTTAGCTACTTACACTAAGAAGTAATTATTTACAAATTATTTTGTATACGAAGACCAGAGGAATAAAAATATTTCAGTGTTTGAATTTGATCCTTCTTACAGCATTGAGGGAAATACTTATTCCTTACTCCATCCTGTTTTCCCTCACTATAAAACCAGAAAAGTATCATTGTGCAAGACTGCTAATTGTTAATTCACATGTGTGAAATTGTTGAGAAATATTGTTTGGGGGCCAGGCGCGGTGGCTCACGCCTATAATCCCAGCACTTTGGGAGGCCAAGGCAGGTGGATCACCTAAGGTCAGGAGTTCGAGATCAGCCTGGCCAACATGGTGAAACCCCGTCTCTACTAATAATATAAAAATTAGCCAGGCATGGTGGCGCATGCCTGTAATCCCAGCTACTCGGGAGTGTGAGGCAGGAGAATCGCTTGAACCCAGCAGGCGGAGGTTGCAGTGAGCCGAGATCGCGCCATTGCACTCCAGCCTGGGCAACAAGAGCGAAACTCTATCTCCAAAAAAAAAGAAAAAAATAAATATTGTTTGGAAAGTATTACCTTACTACATTTATAAACATAAAGTTGCATTTTTGTGTGTTTTTTGTTGTTGTGTTTGTTTTTTTGAGACACAGTTTCACTCTGTCGACCAGGCTGGAGTGCAGTGGTGCAAATCTTGGCTCACTGCAAACTCTGCCTCCCTGGTTCAAGAGATTCTCATGCCTCAGCCTCCCAAGTAGCTGGGAACGACAGTGCGTGCCACCATGCCCGGCTAATTTTTGTATTATTAGTAGGAATGGGGTTTCACCACGTTGACCAGGCTGGTCTCGAATTACCTGACCTCAAGTGATTCGCCCACCTCGGCCTTCCAAAGTGCTGGGATTACAGGCATGAGCCACCACACCTGGCTAAAGTTGCATTTTTACAGCCAAGTTGGAATTACAAATTATAGCCCATTTAAAAATGTATGCAAATATATGCATATATATACAACAACGGGAAAAGAAAGCCACAATTGTGAAAGAGCAAAATGGGAAAATGTCTTTCACATAAGATTGAGTATTTCAGCTGATCAATACATAATAAAAAAGTTTTGTGGCTGATTATTTTTTTTTCACTTAGTTAACGTCATTTACACTCTGCCCACGTCAGATAAAATTGTACATGATGTAAATAGCAGAAAATTATAATAGCTGCTGGCTATTTTTCCCAGTTAATAAAAAGAACCAAATGAAAAAGTTGTCTGAAAATGAGCCATTTCCTTTATTCAAAAGTTACTTTTGCTTCAGGGATCCAGGAAATTTGATTATAGAGCTTTGCACTTCTAGAAGAAACACTGTTATAAATCAAGGTGTCTCAACCTCAGCACTATTGAGGTTTGGGGCACCTGGATAACTCTGTTGTGGGGGCTGTCCTGTGGGCTGTGGGAGGTTTAGCAGCCTCCCTAGCCTCCACCCACTAGACACCAGTAGCACTCCCTCCAAATTTGTGACAACCAAATGTCCCCGGGGGCAACGTCACTCCCAGTTGAGAAACACTCCTATAAATAGCATGCCCATGCTCAGGTGGGTGCAGTTTTACATGTGCTGGGGACAGGCCCATCTGTGCCAGAGCCTGATTGGCACAATTAAAGCCCCGATTAGGAGTGGTCGAATATAAACGTTCTCAACAATCCAAAGTTTTGCCCAGATGGGCAATAAGTTCTGCTGCAAATAGGTTTTAAATTATATGCCTTAATTTGGGTGTAAGTGGTTAATAGAATGTAAGGCTGTTTGCCAATTAAAATATCTGTGGCTAAGGCTGGAGCTCTAACATCAGCCTACATGCAGATCCTCTAATTTAGCCAATTATCATGGGCTGTGTTGTTGGTGACAGGCAAGCAAGTGAAGTCTATAGGTTGTAGGGCTTGTATTAGCCAAATCTGATGGCATGTGACAAATCTCAGCATTTGTCATGGCTAGTTGAAACAATGACTTCCTTGGTGAGTTTGGGCCTCTGGATTACAAACCAATGCAAGCACCTAGACTAACAGTAATGGGACCAACAGGCCATAGTGCCTGCAGTGTGCCCATGCACTGAGCATATTTTTTATTTACTTTTTTGGGTGGTGGTAGAAGTTTTAGTTTCAAATGGGTCCCCTATCAGATGACCAACTGCCTGGCCCCAGGGACACTATGGCTAAGGGGTCCCAGGGGAGTATGTGCCCTTGGCCTGGCCTCCATCCTTATGGGATGGAGGGTAAGAATGAAAATTTATGATGATGAGGGAAATCATAATTAAAGAGTCTCATATATAATGAGTCCTTACATGAAGAAGAGACATATTCCCTTTTCTATGTAAGAAAGGAAGATGGGAACATTTTTTCTTTAACTTGGTGTAAGGTGTGAGTTGGCTGAGTGGCTTGAATTAAGAGAAATTAAAGTCTGAGGCAAGACCGAGACCCACTTTCCAGACTGAAACTTGAAGAGGACTCATTTGAGGAGAATGTTGCATCTCTCAGTCAAAGCAGCTAATCTGGGACTTATCAGGGATATGACATTTCTATGGAATGCCTTTTTCAAGAGCCCAGTATACTTTGAGAAGTGTAGTGCATGCCTTGGTTACTAACAGTAGTGTCTGTAACTCAGAAGGAGATCAGGAGTGTCCTGGCAGGACCTTGCACTGTGACCTTAGTACATGCAGAAAAGTATGGTTTTGATTTACATTTTGGGAATACGTCAGGCAAGAGATTCCAAGAGTTTTTTACCCTGAAAGGGACAACTCCTAGGCAATGGCCCAAGAATTTGCAATGTCTGTGGAGATGGGGCCATTTTTTGGCCAGGGCACCCAGTGCTGACTGCCTGAGCTGTCTCATCCATTATCGGGGACATCCTGGATAAGGGATGGAAAGCAGCTACATTCCATGGAGCACCATCATTTTTATGATGGAGGGTCACAAGTTCAAGGTCTATGAGAGCCTCTCTCTGTTTCCAAGACAGTCCAAGGCCGGGCGCGGTGGCTCACGCATGTAATCCCAGCACTTTGGGGAGCCAAGGCAGGAGGATTGCTTGAGCCTGGAGTTCAAGACCAGCCTGGGCAATGTGGTAAAACCCAGTCTCTACCAGCATGGTGGTGCACATCTGTAGTCCCAGCTACTGGGGAGGCTGTGGTGGAAGGATCTCTTAAGCCCAGGAGGTTGAGGCTGTAGTGAACCGTGATGGTGCCACTGCATTCCAGCCTGGACGACAGAGAAACCCTGTCAAAAAAAAAAAAAGGCGTCTAGCATTAGCTGTGCATTTGTTTTAATGGAGTATAGCACAAGGCTGAAAGGGGCAGTTTCCTGCATCAGAAGCCTCTGGGCAACTTATGGCTATTGTAGGTGGTCCAGAGACTACAGGAGATGGCTGAGAAGAGGTTGCCAAAGCCTTTGCAGTGAAAGAATCTTGGAGGCACTACTAGGACTGCCTGTTGATTTTAATTTTCACAGATCTTAGAGGCTTCTTTTGGTGAAAGCTCCATTTAGGGTGGACTGCTTGGTAAGTAGCAGCAGCAGTGAGATTAAGGAAAATGTGTAAATATGAAATATGTTGCTACCAGAACCCCAAAAGGACTAGGTGTTGGTCTTGTATGCCCTTAATGAGTGTGTCAAATGAATAGCCTGGGGAGAGGAAGGCATTAATGTAATGTCATACCTGTGCTCCTGGGTGAAAATAGATGTATTTGAGATCCTGTCTGCCAAGACTGTGCATGGTGGCAAAGCTGTGTACCCTGTGGTGTACCGTGTCCTTTCAGAGGTGAATGTAGACTGTGGCTGAGAGGCCGTGAAAAGAGGCAGTATGCAGAACATATTAGCCAAATCTATAATATCAAAATATTTCCTGGTTGTTGATTGGATGAGGTCAGTTATTTTAATAAAACTGAGTAATGTGTATGAAGGCTAATGGATGGGACCTCAGGGTTAAGGTTGGAGTCATCACCATGAGGTGTTATTTATTTTTTCTAGGTTTAATAACTGGCAAAGTTTGGCTGGGCCAGTGGTTCACACCTGTAATCCCAGCACTTTGGGAGGCCAAGGTGGACGGATCACCTGAGGTCAGGAGTTCGAGTCCAGCCTGACTAACATGATGAAACCCCGTCTCTACTAAAAATACAAAATTAGCCAGGTATGGTGGTGCCTGCCTGTAATCCCAGCTACTCAGAAGGCTGAGGTGGGAGAATCACTTGAACCTGGGAGGTGGAGGTTTCAGTGAGCCGAGATTGCGCCATTGCACTCCAGCCTGGGCAACAGAGTGAGACTCCGTCTCAAAAAAAAAAAAAAGAGAACTGGCAAAGTTAAGAACAGGGCTGTCAAATGGAGAAGCACTGGGGAATAATCATCTCTTTATTAATTAGATTTTATATAATAAATTTTAATCCTTGAAGGCCCTGTTTTTTTACATTGGGCCATATTAACTATTTTCCCTGAGAACCTGTAGGCTGTATTTTATCAAGCCAATTTGTAAGTGCCAAAGACTTATTTTAATTTATTATTCATTGTGTTGGAGGAACTATGTGCAATCTGAGATATTTTAGGGCAATGGCTACTTTGACTATGGGAAATTTAGGCAAGGCTACAGTTAAAGTGAGGCATACCTAATTTTCCTCTATTTTATATTCAGTGACTTTTCTAAGATTATAGGAGTACACCATGATTAAATTTTTTTGTTTTTTGTTTTTTGTTTTGAGACGGAGTCTCGCTCTGTCACCAGGCTGGAGTGCAGGGGCGCGATCTCGGCTCGCTGCAACCTCTGCCTCCTGGGTTCAGGAGATTCTCATACCTCAACCTCCTGAGCAGCTGGGATTATAGGGACGCGCCACCACACCCAGCTAATTTTTGTATTTTTAGTAAAGACAGGGTTTCACTGTGTTGTCCAGGATGGTCTCGATCTCTTGACCTCGTGATCCGCCCGCCTCAGCCTCCCAAAGTGCTGGGATTACAGGCGTGAGCCACCATGCCCGGCCACCATGATTAAATTTAATAGGATTCCAAGATATAACCATAATTCAATCCACAGTTTTGATGAATGCCAAGTTTTGTCAATTGGCTTGTGTTACCCAATGTTCAAGTTAATTTAGAACCTATGTTGTAGAGGCACAGACGCCAGTTAGTGCCACCTTTTTGTTGTTATATAAAATAAATTGCAGCCTCCACCTCCCAAGTTCAAGCAATTTTCCTGCCTGAGTCCTCCGAGTAGCTGGGACTACAGGTGTGTGCCACCACGCCTGGCTAATTTTTGTATTTTTAGTAGAGATGGAGTTTTACCATGTTGGCCAGACTAGTCTTGAACTCCTGACCTCAAGTGATCCACCCTCCTTGGCCTCCCAAAGTGCTGGGATTACAGGCGTGAGCCATCACACCCGGCCTAGTTGTTTTATCTGTAGTATAAAGATTCCATGTGACAGGAAGAACACATTATTATTATTTGAGATGCAGTCTCGTTCTGTCACCCAGGCTGGAGTACAGTGGTGCCATCTCAGTGCACTGCAACCTCTGCCTCTCAGATTCAAGTGATTCTTGTGCCTCAGCCTCCTGAATAGCTGGGACCACAGGCATGCGCCATCACACCTGGCTAATTTTTTTATTTTTGGTAGAGACGGGGTTTCACCATGTTGCACAGGCTGGTCTAGAGCTCCTGAGCTCAAGTGATCCATCCGCCTTGGCCTCCCAAAGTGCTGGGATTACAGGCGTGAGCCACTGCACCGTGCAAAATTATTTTAACATATAAATTTTGGATTTTCCACATATATATACACACAAGCATGTGTACCTGTGCACACACACACATAGTAATTTATTAGGGCTTAGGAAGGGCAGGGATAAAGTGTTCTCTCTCTTTTTTTTTAGATGGGATCTCATGGTGTTGCCCAGGTTGGACTCCAACTCCTGGCCTCGAGCAATCCACCTGCCTCAGCCTGGGAGCTGAAGCTCCCTTTTAAAAATTAAACATTGTGCCACTGGTCTCCCAGAGTGTGATCTCTTGTACCCCCGGTTGAGGGGTGAATTGGTGCAGCATCAAGGCAAGCGACAATACAGGAGACTATGGCTAGAACAACATCTTTTGTGGGGTGCTATGGGCCAGGAGGTGGATGCCCCCACACTGTCTCCACGTGTGGCTCACTCGTGAGGAGCTCTGAAGCGCATCCTCCCTGAAGTCCACAGAGCGGGAGGGAAGGTCCAGGAAAAGAGCTGCTCGGTGTCCCCACCTCTTGTCAGTGCTGCCTGGTTGCCTGGTCAGTCCTGTCCCAGGCACTCGGAGGGAAGTCACACCTCACTCCCTTCAGAGGCGCCTTTCGTGAACTCAGCCAGTCAGTGCCAAAAAGGGGTGCCCCCGGGGTCACTGTCCTGAAACTTAGGCAAGTCACTCAGCTCAGGCCAGAACTCAGGGAGGACTCAAGTTTTGAGCTCTGAATTGGGGGTACAAGGAACAGCAGGAAGCACATGCGGCAGGTGGTTGCACCTTCCCAGGCCGTCGCTGCCCTCTGGTGGCCCCAGTGGACAGGTCCGGAGCCGTCTAGTGGCATATCATTCCAGTTCAAGCCCACATAGCCCATTCACTCTGTACATTGTTTTATTTCTTTCCCGTTTTTTTTTTTTTTTTTTTTTTTTGAGACAGAGTCTTGCTCCGTTGCCCAGGCTGAAGTGCAATGGCTCAATCTCAGCTCACTGAGGCCTCCGCCTCCTGGGTTCCAGCGATTCTCCTGCCTCAGCCTCCGGGGCAGCTGGGATTACAGGCTCCTGCCACCACACCCAGCTAATGTTTGTGTTTTTAGTAGAGACGGGGTTTCGCCATGTTGGCCAGGCTGGCCTCGAACTCCTGACCTCAGGTGATCCACTGGCCTCAGCCTCCCAAAGCATTACAGGCATGAGCCATCGCGCCTGGCCTAAATGTATAAATTTTTTTAATAAATTCATGTTTTTATAAATTTACATTTATAAATCCTTTTTCTTCAAAAATAAACCTTAGCTCACTGTAACTTTTTTTTATAAACTTTTTTATGTTTTTTAACTTTTGACTGTTAAAACACAAACACATCGTACAGCTATACAAAAAAAAAATTCTTTTTTGAGACAGGTTGTCACTCTGTTACTCAGGCTGTAGTGCAGTGGTGCAGTCTCGGTTCACTGCAGCCTTGACCTTCCAGGCTCAAGCAATCCTCCTGCCTCAGCCTCCCAAGGAGCTGGGACACAGATGCATACCATCACATTGGGCTAATTTTATTTTTTCTAGAGACGAGGTCTCACTATGTTGCCCAGGCTGGTCTCAAATTCCGGGCCTCAAGTGATCCTCCAGCCTCAGCCTCTCAAAGCATTGGAATTACAGGTGTGAGCCACCATGCCTGGCCTCCTATGTTATCTTTTAGAGTTTGATAGTTTTATATTTTACATTTAGGTCTGTGATCCATCTTGAGTTAATTTTTAGAAAGGGTGTAAGGTCTGTGTCTAAGGTCTTTTTTGTATGTGGATGTCCAGTTGATCCAGTATCATTAGTTGAAAAGACCATCTTTGCTCCATTGAATTGTCTTTGTCCTTTGTCAAAGACAAGTTGACTCTATTTATGTGGATCTATTTCTGAGATCTCACTTGTATGTCATAGATCTATTTCACTAATCTTTCATCAATATTACACTGTCTTGATTATTGTAACTTTATAGTAAATCTTGAAGTTGTATAGCATTATTTCTCTGACTTTATTATTCTCCTTCAATATTTTTGTTGACTATTCTGGGTCTTTTGCCTTTCCATATAAACCCTAGAATCAGTTTGTTGATATCTACAATATAACTTGCTGGGATTTGATTGGGATTGTGTTGAATCTGTAGATCAGGTCTGGAAAAACTGAAATCTTGCCAATGTTGAGTTTTTCTAGTCACAAACATGGATTATTTCTCAATTTATTTAGATCTTTTTTGATGTCTTTCAACAGAGTTTTGTAGTTTTCTTCATATAGATCTCGTACTTGGTTTGTTAGATTTGAACCTAAATCTTTCTTTCTTTTTGGTGCTAAATAATTTAAATGACAATTTGTTTTAAATTTCAAATTCCAATTGTTCATTATTGGTATGCAGGAAGGCAATGGATATTTTTATATTAATCTTGTATCCTGCAGGCTTACTATAATTGTTCAGCAGTTTTAGGACTTCCGTTGATCCTTTGGGATTTTCTACATAGACAGTCATGTAATGTACAAAAAAAAAAGATGGTTTTGTTTCTTCCTTTCCAATCTATTTACAATCAGCTCTTCATATATGTGGGTTCTGCATCCACGAATTCAACCAACCATGGATCAAACTATTTGGGAAAAGACAATTTTAAAAATACCACTTAAAAAACAATACAGCATAACAACTATTTTTCATAGCATTTTTAGGTAGTATAATCTAGAGGTAATTTAAAGTTTGTGGGAGGGTGTATGTAGGTTACATGCGAATACGACACCATTTTATATAAGGAACTTAAGGATCCATGGATTTGGGTATGAAAGACAGGTTCCTGGAATCAATTTTCCATAGACACCCAGGGACTGTGTTGTCTCTTTCCTTTTCTTGTTTTATTGTGTAAGCTAGGACATCGCAACAATGTTGAGTCTAAATGGTGTAAGAGGGGATGTCCTTGCCTTATTCCTGATGTTACCAGGAAAGCATCTACTTTCTCACTCTTAGTATGAGGTTAGCTGTAGGGTTTTGGTAAATATTTCTTATAAAATTAAGGAAATTACCCTTTGTTCCTGGTTTGTGGAGAGTTTTTTTTTTTTTTTTTTAGTCATGAATGAGTTTGAATTTTATCAAATACTTTTTCTGCATCTATTGATATGATCATATATTTTATTCTTTAGCATGTTCATGTGATAGATTGCATTAATTGACCTTCAAATGGTGAACCAGGCTTGCATGCCTGAAATAATACACTGCTGGATTTGATTTGCTAATATTTTGTTGAGGATTATTCTGTCTACGTTCATCAGTGATATCAGTCTATAGTTTTCCTTTCTTGTAATGTTTTTGGTTTTTATATTAGAGTAATACTGGCTTCGTAGGATGAGTTAGAAATTATTCTCTCTTCTTTTACATTCTAGAAAAGATTGTAGAGAATTGGTATAATTTCTTCCTTACATGTTGGTAGAATTCACCTGTGAATCTATTTGGGCCTGCTGCTTTCTGTTTTGGAAGTTGTTTTTGTTTTGTTTTGTTTTGTTTGTTTTTTTGAGACAGGGTTTCACTCTGTCACCCAGGCTGAGTGCAGTGGCACTATCATGGGTCACTATAGCTTCAAACTCCCAGGCTCAAGCGATCCTCCCACCTCAGCCTTGCAAGTAGCTGGGACTGCAGGCACATGTCACCATGTCCAGCTAATTTTTTTAGTTAGTGTGGAGACAGGGTCTCACTATGTTGCCCAGGCTGGTCTTGAACTCCTGGACTCAAGGGATCCTCCTGCCTCAGCCTCCCAAAGTGCTGTAATTACAGGTGTGAGCCACCATGCCTAGCTGGAAGCTTATTGATTAAAATTTAGCAGACTTAGTTCTATTGAGATTACCTATGTGTCTTCTGAGAGTCTGGATAGAGGAATTGATACAAGGAATTGATCCATTTTATCTAGGCTATCAAATGTGTGGACGTAGAGTTGTTCATAATAATCCTTTATTATCCCTTTAATGTTCATGGCATCACAATGGCCCATCTTTATTTTCTGGTGTTAGTATTGTTTCTACTGTCTTCCTTAGTCTGGCTAAAGGTTTGTCAAGTTTATTCATCTTTTCAAAGAATCAACTTTGGGGTTGATTTTCTGCTTTCAATTTCATTGATTTCTGTTCTAATTTTTATTATTTCTTTTTGTCTGCTTATTTGGATTTCTGTTCTAATTTTTATTTTATTATTATTATTTCTTTTCATTTGCTTATTTTGGATTTCTCTTTTTTCTAGTTTCCTAAGGTAAATTGGGAACTAGATTATTGATTTTAGGTATATCTTTTTTCTAATAGTAAATTCGAAACTAGATTATTGATTTTAGATATATCTTTTTTCTAATATGTTCATTCAGTGCTATGAATGTCCCCCATCACTGTTTTTACTGCATTCCACAAATTTTGAAAAGTTGTATTTGCATTTTTATTTAATTCAAACCACTTTTAAGCTTCTCTTGAGACCTATTCCTTGACCCATGTGTTATTTCGAAGTGTATTGTTTAATCTCCAAGGATTTTGGGATTTTCCGACTATCTGTTTCTTTTTTTTAATTTTAACTTCATTGTGGTCTTACAGCAAACTTTGTATGATTTCTAGTCTTATAAATTTGTTAAGGTATGTTTTATGGCCCAGAGTGTGGTGTATCCTGTTGAATGAGCTGCATGAATTTGAGAAGAATGCTTACTCTGCTGTTGTTAGATAAATTGTCTACAATGTCAATTACATCCAGTTGATTGATGGTTCTGCTCAGTACAACTATGACCTCACTGATATTCTGCCTGTTAGATTTGTCAATTACTGATATACTGGTGTTGAAGTCTCCAGCTATAACATGGAATTCATGTATTTCTCCTTGTATTCTATCTGTTTTTGCTTTATATTTTGATGCTTTGTTGCTGGGTGAATATACATGAAGAATTGTTTTGTCTTGTTGGAGAACTGACCCCTTTATAGCCATGTGATATCACCTAAACTCAACATGAGAAACATAGCTTCATATTGGGACATATAACAGTGAGCCAAATGGTGCTACCAATACAGAAGCAGCATAAGATACATCTTCTCACTCATGGGACTTAAAATCTACTTCACAATACAAAACTCAAAAAAAAAAAAAAATGAACACGCAAGGCAGTGCCTAATCAAGCAGGTCCCAGAGACGTTCAAAGAAGGGGAAGTCACAGAAGGAGGAAAGTGAGATCTTAGTGGATGGATAAGACAATGGGCAATGACAGGGCAATGAGCACAGTCCATTCAGAGACACTGGAAATTTCATTCTACAGTTTACTCACATTTATAATTTTGAACTATCACTCTGGTGTTGGGAGAAATTGACTTAAGGTAGGGCAGTGATTTATTTTAAAAATAACTATGCTACAATAGCTTTAAAATATTGGACCAGGCGGTCTACCCCAAATTACAAAAGAATTACCTATCAATTTGTTTATGAATTTATTGGTAGCCACACATTTTTTTTCTAGAAAAAAAGTTCCATGGAGTGTTTGGATATCAATCAGGCCACAGTATAACTGAAACTCTATTACCCTAGAAACACCCTGCCACACAGGACAGGACCATTTTGGAAAGCTATGAAGACTAGACACTTCTCCTCCCTCTAACTTCTCAGCCAGGACACCGTCTCTGTTCAAGGCCAATGGCGGTGGATTTCACCATGGTTGCCCTCCACAGCAAAGGTTGGCTGGCGAAGGTTTATGCAGCCATGTCTGGGGGCAGCAGTGGGGAAAGAAGAGCTCATTAGCACAGAACTGAGCTCATCTGCAAGAAGTAAACTTCTCTGTTGCTGGTAGTCAGGTCCACAGGAGAAGGTTCTAGGCCCTAGGGCCACAGTGGAAAGGTATTCACCAGGAGAATGACTCACAGGTTGTTCTTACTACAAAAATGCAAAAATTAGCCAGGCGTGGTGGTGCATACCTGTGATCCCAGCTACTCAGGAGGCTGAGGCAGGAGAGTCACTATAACCTGGGAGGCAGAGGGTGCAGTGAGCCAAGATTGCTCCACTGCACTCCAGCCTAGGTGACAGAGCGAGACTCCATCTCAAAAAAAAAAAAAAAAAAAAAAGAAAGGAAGAAAAAAAATCAGTACTTTAAGATGACTGCACAGAGTAGCTTGAATTTTGAGGACTCTTGTACTGTTTGAGAACAGATCCCTCCTATCCCCTGCCCAACCTCTGAAGGGGTAACATTTCCCCAAATCCTACTGAAAGTCAGCTATACACACCAGTGGTGAGCATGTCATTTCAATAATGTGCAGGACAATATCAATGCCCAGTGGAACCCATCAGTTGGGATTCAACACATGGCCAGTGGCAGAGCAGGTTGAGCTGCTCCCCTCCCCACAGTTTCTATTCTCAAGTAAGGCAGGCCGTGGTCTAGTCACTCCAGGATACAGGGTAAGAAAGGAGGGAAAGGTAGACTCAGCTGCGGCAGGCATTCATGCAGGCCAAACACTGCACACCCTAAGGGCAATCTCAGATAACCTACAAATCTACAATGTGACATTCTCTATGTGTTCTTCTCTTCATCAACCAACAACTATGTAGATTTCTTATTGAATGACAGAATACATGTGGAATAATAACTGTGCCCCCTTAGCACAGTGCCTATTGAATGAAAGATGGTAAATTAACATTAGTTTCTTTTCCTTCTTTGTGCTTTTTAGGGGAGGTGGGGAGTAGGAGTTAACTCAGCCAACTGTTATAAAGGTACAATTTCTCTGGAATTTGTTAATTGAGCTATCGCTCCAGCATAAAGAATCAGGACTGGGAGCAGCTATTGCCAGCTGTGTTTGGGAGCGACCTAAGCTGATTTACCATTATCATGATGATGACTTTACAAATCTATTCAGTATTTTATGTATTTAATGCCCTTAATGCTGGGTTGGGCTACAATAGTGATTAGTTGCACTAATTAGTTGAATTCATAGAGAAGTTTTTGGAGTTAGTTATGAGAGGATCGTATGTAAATTCATGCTAACTGTATGTAAATAGGTTTCTAATTCCTCTAGGAAAAAAAAATCCACAACACAACTGCCTTGTGCTCCCCACACCCCATTCTGACCATCTGATGACACTGGCACATGGAGATGCCATTCATGACGACGGAGCAAACCCTGCTGCTCTGAGGGCATCGGGTCACCCAGATGGCCACCAGGCTCCAGTGGTGTTCCTGAAGAGGGTGGAAGGAGAAGGCTGCTGCTCCTGGAACTCGAAGCTTTAACGAAGGTGACACAGGAGGGAGCCCCAGGCCACTCAGTCTCTAATCCTGGCTGGTGCCAGTCAGTGCAGGAGACCAGACCTGCCCTGGCTAAATACCTGCAGGTGGATCTCAGAGCAGGGACGCTGAGCCCAGGGGACAGCAGCCACATGGGCCAGGCTCCATCTGTGGAGCTGACATAACTGCCATGTGCTGGACATTAATGATTTGCTTCAGGGAAAGACAAAGTGGATGCTCCTCATCAAGTGTCAGGGCCCCTGCTCTAGAATCTGTGACTGTTCTACCCAGAACAGAAGAAATGTCCCTTCAGTCACTAGCCGGGTACCTTGGGTTTGCCCTGGGGCTACGCATAAGCTCTGAATCCAGTGAGTTGCACATCACCGGAACAGGAGGCAGAGCAGGCTCTCCACTGACGGCATGGGAGATAAATAACGCTGCACTCAGCCATCCTCGGCCAGTCTCCTTTGAGGTTTGTCTGCTTATCTCAGCATGAATTAAGAAGAAATTCCCATGTCGGAAAATGAGTGTGCAAGTTCTAAACTGTCATCACACACTGCCAAACAGTCTTACGAAAGCGCTGTGTCTATGAATGCTCCCACCAGTAATATATGAGCAGGTGCTTTTCCCAGTCTCTCATGGGCATAGGGCATGATGTGAGTTTTCCTATCTCTGCCAATCTGATGCTTAAAAATATATGCTTTTTTATTCATTTATAGTAATGTTTAAAATATTTTCATGTTATTACATTTTTTATTTTTTAAAACTGCTGATTCTTAACATTCTTAATACTAAAATGTTCATCACATATATTGCATATATTGAAAATTTTTGAATATTTGTTTTTCATACTTGATCGTGGTGCTTAATCATTGAGAAATATAATCATTTGAAAAATTTTATCACAAAGCATAAATTGTGGCTGCTTCCTAAACGAGTGGGTAATTTTTTTAATGGCTAGCTGCAAATGAATGCAAAATAGTTCTACCTGATCCTTGTTTAGGAGCCTGTTGCTTGAGCTGAAGGAAGATTACTGAGCACGCCAATAAACTACCACAGATGCTTGGGGCTTCTGCTCTTCAGCAACTGAGTGATCCTTTGTGCTTGAAGCTTGGAGGCTGCACACAGCTGAAACTGGCCCTGCACAGACAGGCAGCCCAGGCAGCAAAGCACTGGGGACCATGCCAGTCCCTGACGCCACTGGATGGCAGGAGGGGGTAGAACTCAGCATGCCCGCTAGGTGCACTTAGCACCAGGGAGCAAAATTAGTGATGGTCACTCTGGCAATTTCCTTACCTGCACTGTTCAAGCTGGGAATAGATTTGCTTCAGGTGCTCCGGCTCATGGGCTGTCAGCAGCCCCTTTGACTCAGAAAAACAAAACGGATTTGAGAAGCACCGAGCAGAGCTCCCAGCTTGCATGGGGATGAGGGATCCAGAAGGAGCTGCTCTGCCGTGAATCTGTGGAATAGCCAAACAACCATCAGCCATTCCCTCCTAACTAAAAACAATGAAAAATTCTCTCTCTCCTATACTCTGGCTTGCCCAAATGTTCAGGGGACAATGTCAGAGTGTAATTTTGATCATGGCCATTTCAAGGCATTTGAAACGGGATTCGTTGCCGGGTTGGGCCACCATGAACTTGCACAGTCACCTCAGGAGGCCGAGCCTTCAGAGATGACAGCATTCAGCCTCAGGAGGAGCCTGCAATTCACCCACGGTCTTCCCAGTATATCCCTTCCATGGGGATACAAGACAGTAAGGAGCTAAACAGAACCTGCTGTCTGAATGGGGAACCTGCATGCTGGGGTTCTTTTGTGTCTGAGCCCTGTCCTTCTATGGACAGACCTGTGAATATTACATGCACAATGAGAGCCGTAGGTTTGAGCCCCGTGACACCCAGCTGTCCAAGAAGTGTTCCCTGTGTAAATGCTGACATGGACAGCTCCGCTGCTTGCCTCAGGCATTTCTACCTGGGTGTGACGGCCTTGTGATGGACAAGCACCTCAAGGACCAGGACTCCAAAACTACCACTGTCTTCATGTACCACTTTTATGCTGGCATCTGCCTTTCTATACAAAGTTGCTATTAATCAACATTTACCTTTTTCTACAAATACAAGTTTAGATATCATGCAAATTTCATGACCAGTAAAGGCTGCTGCTCCAATGTTCTGACTGAAAGATAATCGTTTGTTAGTTGCCTTAAGATAACGAACACCTTTCCATAATAGTCTCTAACACTTCCTTACAGTACCAACTATTTCTTACCTCTGCCCTGCCCTCCCCTGAGAAATTATTAAAAAAAAAAAAAAAAAAAGAGGCTGGGTGCAGTGGCTCACGCCTATAATCCCAGCATTTTGGGAGACTGAGGCAGGTGGATCACCTGAGGTCAGGAGTTCAGGACCAGCCTGGCTAACATAGTGAAAGCCCATCTCTACTAAAAATACAAAATTAGCCGGATGTGGTGATGTGTGCCTGTAGTCCCAGCTACTTGGGAGGCTGAGGCAGGAGAATCGCTTGAACCTGGGAGGCAGAGGTTGCAGTGAGCTGAGGTCGTACCACTGCACTCCAGCCTGGGTGACAGAGTGAGACTCCATCTCAAAAAAAAAAGAAGGAAAGAAAGTCAGTCATATCTACATCATGTCTGAGTCCAGTGTTTCTTGATATGTGTAATTCTACCAAGATCTTCTAATAATATTTTCTTTTAAGCAATTGAATTATATGTTCAGATTATTAAAGGCTAATCCTAATGTGGAACTGAGGATAAAGTTTTGAGTAGAGTTGATCAAAATCAACTAATATCATCCCTTTTTAAAGGGAGGAGCCAGAAGTGCTGAAGTAAGGAAAGTTCATCTGCATGATGAGACTGGATAGGAAAGAAGAAGCACGTGGGAGAGACAGATTGGAAAAGACAAAGTGGATCACTTGATTCACGATTATGTGGGTGTACAGAAGCAAGTTACAAGGTTAATTGAAGGGCAAGTTTCTATCATCTGTAGCAAGCTACCTAAGACAGGAGTTCCCTTTCTGCTCAAGACACTGTAAAAAAAAAATGAAGTCTTCTTGGAAAAAAATTTTACCTCAGTTTTCCCAGTGAGACTACTTAAAAACTTATGTTTCTTCCAAACTATGTAATTATTTTAACTGTTGTAGAAAAAAAGAGAAAATGTTCACAATATTTAGTTGTAACTAGGTGATAAAAACTATACATTGTAAACCTCCCCCTTTTTTTTTTTTTTGAGATGGAGTCTCATTCTGTCACCAGGCTGGAGTGCAGTGGCGCGATCTCGGCTCACTGCAACCTCCTCCTCCTGGGTTCAAGTGATTCTCCTGCCTCAGCCTCCCGAGTAGCTGGGACTACAGGCGCGCACAGCCATGCCCAGCTAATTTTTTGTATTTTAGTAGAGACAGGGTTTCACCATGTTGGCCAGGATGGTCTCGATCTCCTGACCCCATGATCTGCCCGCCTCGGCCTCCCAAAGTGCTGGGATTATAGGCGTGAGCCACCGCACCTGGCATAAAACCCTTTTTTAAAAAAATTATGTATATGAATATGCACAGTAAAAATGGGAAATACATTGAGAAAAAGGAAAGACTGAACAAAACCAAAACAAAAAAGAACCATTTTTAACACTGAAAACCATTTTTGATAAATGGTGAAATGTCTCAAAATCTCCCACCATGAGGTACATAGGAAGTTCAAGGAACCAGATGTTTCCCAGAGCTTGCTAACAAACTCCTTCCTGCAGCAGGGATGGTACATCTCTCAACGTGACGCTCTCAGGAGGCAGGGTTGAGAGACACAGCAGGGATGGGATCTGTTCTTGGTGGAGAGCCATGTGACTCTCTCTCCCTGCACACGGTGACCTTGGTGCACTTCTTCCTAGAACGGGACGGAGACTCGGGGGCTGCCAGCCAAGCCCGGAAAGGCTCGAGTCCATCGTTCATTTCATCAAGTTGTGGTAGTGAACAGCTGGGTTTCCTCAAACACAGTCCACAGTTTATTGTATACCTACGCTGGAAGTCCCTGAATGCGTACTCTTCACACGTTGGTAAATGGAAATTTATTTCACCAAAATTGCTCAACGATTCCATTGCCCACATGTTAAGAAAACTTGCAGAAGCAGAACAAAAACTGAGAAAGGGAAGGGATGATGGTTGAGAGGTGGGAGGATCCACATTTTCCCAGAATAGTAGGATGGAATTGAACTCTAACAAACACTATGGTAGAAAATCATAGTCTCTTCCCCACAACAATCCCTAAAAAGAGCAGCAATTGCCAGCAAAGGGAGGAGAAAGATGGAATAGGTTATAAATTAATCAGCAAAGAGAATAAACTAAATTCCAGAAGCAAATGACCAACCAGTTTCAAGCAGGTGAAATGTGTATGCATTACCCTTGTTCTTCTGAGTAACTGTACAGTCTATATACTAGAATCTCTCACTGCAGAACCAGAAGCAGCTATGAAAAGTCCTTGGCGAAGCCAGTTTCCTTCCAGCCTATCCCTCAGGCCCAGCAGGGATGAGTTTTCCCACCAGGTCGTTCCACTCTGTCCTCTCAGTTGGTGGCAGGAACCCTGGTAAGATTCTGGATGGAAGCTGCTTTCCATCCTGGATATCTATATTTTAACAGAAACTCACGATGAAAAGTCTTCTAGACTTAAAAGCATAAGTCACTAATTGTGTAATTTGGGGTATAAGGAAAGCAGCAGGAGTTTTTTTCATCATCTCTTGAATCATAATGCAAAAATAGCCCCCATCTTTATAAGGCCAACTCTCAGTATCTCTATTTCGCAAAGGAGGGTAAGTCCAAGCCATCGTAAAAGACAAGTTTATGTGCCATCATCCTTGGTCCAACTGGTCTCTCTCACTTTAAATGACCCAGTAGGTCTTCGGAATAAAAATTTAGAGAACACAGAAAAACTATCTTGAAAGAAAAAATTTTACAGATTAGAGAAAAAACCTTCTAGAATTTTCACTTTGTATAACAAATTATATGCCTTATTCTATCTTCATGGGTATACCATCAGTACTTTTGATTTTCAGCTCAAAAACGCCAAGCTACTTTAAAGGAAAAACAGAAACAGAATTTTTAAAAAGCTGATAAACATAATACACCAGTGGCTCCCAAGGGAAAAGCTTTCAAACAAGATAGTCCCTTTTGGTGGGAATTGTAGAAGATGGGAGTTATCGCTATGAAATGATGGAATTAATCCAGAACAATGTACATTTTTATACTGACATAGGAGTTTAATCAGATGCTCAGGAACACTCACTTGAAAATCAAACTCTCATCATCATCCCTGGAAGCATTTCTTAGAACTTTCTCCTTGCACACAAGCTTTTGCCTTCAGAAATAGCAGACAAAACCCCAAACAAGACAAACGGCAGACAGAGGAGATGAACCTGCTTAGACAGGTGCAGAAAGGGAATGAGAGCCCAGATGTCACATCTCTCAAAACCCCTCTCTGCCAGGGCTTCTTCCAGAAACACACGACCCACTCAACAAGCGCTGGGTGACCTTCACCTTACTCCTGCCCCATCAAAACCAAATGAAACGACTCAAAGAGAGAGAAAGAATCCATGCTAAAGCTTTAATTCCTCGTTTAAAGCATGCAAAGCATCTAATTGTAAATTTAAACGTTGGAAAAACAAATCCATTTACCTCCTCGCAAAACATTCATCATTAAGGAGAAGATGCTCTATGCTTCCTAATCCATCACCAGGGGAAATCACTGTTCACTGTGGTCTGTAACAACTTTCCTATCACAGACAAACATGCATTTGTTTTTATAAAATTGGGATTTATTTTGTATTTTTATATCCCACTTTTTTTTTTTCTTTTGAGACAGAGTCTCACTCTGTCACCCAGGCTGGAATGCAATGACGTAGTCTTGACTCACTGCAACCTCCGCCTCCCGGATTCAAGCGATTCTCCCACCTCAGCCTCACGAGTAGCTGGGGCTGGAGGTGCATGCCACCATACCCAGCTAATTTTTGTATTTTAGTAGAGACGGGTTTCACTATGTTAGACAGGCTGGTCTCAAACTCCTGACTTCATGATCCGCCTGCCTTGGCCTCCCAAAGTGCTGGGATTACAGGCGTAAGCCACTATGCCCAGCCTATATCCCACTTTTTAAACACCCAGTGTTATTGTATTCATCTTATGAATCTTTGAAACAATTTTGTTTTTTCCTTTTTTTTTTTTTTTTTTTTTTTTGAGACAGGGTCTCACTCCTCACTCTGTCACCCAGGCAGGACTGCAGTGGCACTGTCATGGCTCACTGTAGCCTCCGTCTCCCAGGCTCAAGTGATGCTCCCGCCCCAGCCTTGAGTAGCTGAGACTACAGGCAGGTGCCACCACACCTGGCTAATTTTTGTATTATTTGTAGAGACATGATGATGTTGCCCAGGCTGGTCTGGAATTCCTGGGCTCAAGTAATCCTCCCACCTTAGCCTCCCAAAGTGCTGTTATTACAAACATGAGCCACTGTGCCCAGACCTGAAACAATTTCAGTGGCCACATAATATTAAAGTAAAAGAACCTATCACAATTTATTTCACCATTTTCCTATTGGACATTTAGGTTGCTTCCCGTGTGAATTTATATTTATTTATGTAATTAATTGATGAACATTCATCTGCTTCACCAGATTGTAAAGCCTTGTGTTTGTTTTCAGTCACCATTATTTCTCTTTCCATAGCAAAACTAAAACATGCCAGTTGGTGATAGTGTCTGGTGAATGAGGGATTGAACCTACACTTTAATTTTTTCCTCTAATCAGCCTCATCCACAAAACAGTTCTGATTCTCATCTCAGCCATACACAGTTGTCTGTCTCTTCTAAAATTCCCCTGTAGTTCTTTTGTGTGTGTGTGTGTGTGTGTGTGTGTGTGTGCGCGCGCCTCCCTCATAGAGGAAAGATATTGAGCACGATTATGTGTCAGGCCCTGTGCCAGTCACATTCAAGGAGACAGTGCCTGAAGGGTTGCACCACAGCCTTTATAAAGGACAGGCAAGAAAAAACACTGCCCCAAAATGTTCAATCAAGGACCCTTCCAGAATGCTGCAGTGGCTCCACCAAGCAGTCTGGCTCTGGAAAAAGCTCCAGAGTCCCACCCGAAATGAGATCTCCGTCCTCTGTGTCTGGGGATTGTCTGCGAGGACAGAAGCCTGGAGTGCACTACAGCTCAGGGGGTCTGTCTTAGCGGCTGAGCCCTGGGCAGGGAGACAGGAGGCAGCGGCTAAGGATGGGGGCGCTGGAGTGAGTTCCGCACAGCCCTGACTTTCACGGAGGGTGTCAGCAGAACAGTGTGACGTCACCTGCAAGGAGGAGAAAAGGAGAGCGAGAAGCCAGTAGCCCATTCTGGAGAAAGGGAGGAGAAAGTAGTGTTTCCTTGTTAATAGAGTGTACTTATTCTCAGACGTAACTAACCGCCAAAGTAAAGACATCATTACACATAAAAATTGCAAGGCAGAAGTAGATGTGTGAATTTTCACTCACTCACGTGCACAGAAGTCTCTACTTTCCTCCCCCTTAAATGACACTTTTAAAACTAACGGGTTTCTCTATTTATTTTTAGTTTTTTGAGATGGGAGTCTTGCTGTGTTGTCCAGGCTGGAGCGCAGCGGTGTGATCTCGGCTCACTGCAGCCTCCGCCTCCTGGGTTCAAGCAGTTCTCCTGCCTCAGCCTCCCTAGTAGCTGGGATTACAGGCGTACGCTACCATGCCCAGTAAATTTTTGTATTTTTAGTAGAGACGGGGTTTTGCCATGTTGGCCAGGCTGGTCTCAAACTCCTGACCTCAAGTGATCCACCCACCTTGGCCTCCCAAAGTGCCGGGATTACAGTCATGAGCCACTGTGCCCGGCCATTTCTCTGATTTTTGAACCTCACATATGGGAGGTACTGAAATCCACAAGGTTTGAACACCAAGAGTTCACTGAAAATAAAATTTATTTTCCTCCACACCACAAATTGTGATTATCCCCCATTCTGTGTGTGTCTTAACACACGTGTGAAAGCAACGAGCAGGCACCGAGTTAATTTTGACTAAGGATTCCAGGAAAAGCTACTTCACTTCCTAAGGACAGTCAATGTATGAGAGGGATGTAGGGAGGGAGGGAGGAGGGGATGGTAGCTGGAGGGTCCCACATTTTCAAAATGATAAAGTTTCAAGTTTCTGACCTACAGCATCTTCCTTCTCTCTAAAGAACTTTTAGCATTTCTTGGCAGGCAGATCTACTGGTGTTAAATTCCCTCAATTTTTGTCTAAGAAAGTCTTTATTTCTCCTTTACTTTAAAAAATTGATGTAAAATAATTGTATAATAATTGTACATATTTATGGGATACACAGTGATGTTTCAATGCAAATAACGCATAATGATCAAATCAAGATAATTAGCATATTCATCACATCGACCTCCTTCACTTTTAAGGGATAATTTTACTGGACACAGAATTCTAAGTTGGTGAGTTTTTTCTTGCTTGCTTGTATGGTTTTTGAACAGAAGTCTGATGTAGTTTTTATCCTTGTCCCTTTATAATAAGGTGTTTTATTTCCTCTGGCTTCTTTCAAGGTTTTCTCTTTGATTTTCCTGTAGTTTGACTATGATATATATAAGTGCATATAACCTGTTCAGTGTTCTCTCGGTTTCCTGGATCCTTCATTTTGTGTCTATTATTAATTTTAGAAAATTCTCAGCCATTATTACTTCAAATACTTCTTCTGTTCCTTTCTTTCTTCCCCTTTTGGTATTCCCATTATGCGTGTCTTTTTAAACCCTCCCACAGTTTTTGCATATTCCGTTCTATGGCTTTCATTCTTTTTTCTCTTTGTTTTCAGTTCAAGAAGTTTCTATTGACATATCTTCAAGCTCACTGATTTTCCTCAGCCGTTTTCGAGCTACTGATGAGCCCGTCAAAGGCATTTTTAAATTTCTGTTAGAGTGTTTTTGATTTGTAGCATTTCCTTTTGATCTTTTCTTGAGTTTCCGTAACAGCGCAATGGGTTCATCTTGCTCACTGCCCAAAAAGCCAAGAGCAGTGAGAACAAGAAGTATTGCAGAAGTAAGAGTTTAATTATTGCAGAGGCGGCCAGACGAGGACCGGGAGAGATGTCTCAAACCCGTCTCTCCAAGAATTTGGAGACGAGGGGTTTTTTTAATGGTACTTTGCCAGGCAGGGGGCTGGGAAACTGAAACAATTGAGGAAATCGCGGAATTGTTTAGAACTGTCTTTATCCAGCTGGGAGGGGGACTCAGGACCAGGTAGGTGGCAGCTCTTGGTTGACCAAAGTGCTAAATCTGAAAAATGTCTCAAAGACCAGTTCCCCTTCAGTTTCACAACAGTGATGCTATCTGTAGGAGTAGTTGGGAAATTTATAAATCTTGCAACCCTGGGTTCCATGACTCTGGATCAGGAAGCAACTTATGGAAAAACAAGCTGAATGATGACGGGTCACTGTTTAACTCTGCCACCTCTTCTTCAGCAAAATTCAACACCCTACCAGAATTCTAACTTTGTCTTATGAATGTGGCTTCAACCTCCGAACAAGGAGATGGGTTAGTTTTCCTTGCCTCAAAGTTGAGCTATAAACAAAATTCCTCTCATAGTTATCTTGGCCTCTATACTAGATTAAGCAAAAAACCAATTTAGCCTGTGAAGTTAGAAGCAAGATGGAGTTAGTCACGTTACATTTCTCTCCTTACTTACAATTCTGCAAATTTCTTTTCTCTGCTTACATTGCCCATCTGTTCTTTCATATGATCCACTTTTTCCATTAGAGCCCTTAGCCTATTATTCACAGGTACTTTAAATTTCTGGTCTGATAATTCCAGAATCTCAGGCATAACCGAGTCTGGCTCTGATGCTTGTTCTGCGTCTTCAAGCTGTGTTGTTTCGCCTGTTCGTGTGTCATCATTTTTTGTTGAATTGCTAGACATGACTGGGTAGAAAGAACTGAGACAAGTACGCCTTTAGTGTGAAGTTGCTTCTCTGGCTGGGAGTTCAGCTGTCTACAGTTTGCTCTAGCTACAGGTGTTAGAGGCTAAAATTTCCTCTAATCCTCTTGTTTTTTCTCTCCTGTTGTCTTTGGGTTTTCCCAGAGACGTCTTAAATAAGGTCTAAAATTTGCATTTTTTTTGGCTGTCCTCTCCTGTTGCAAGAGCCCTATTGATGTGGTGCTGAGGTGTGGAGGGCAGGGAAGTGTTCTGTAGACCTATGATTAGGTCTCCATTTTGCAGAGCCTGTGCCTTGGGCTGCTTCTCAGCCAACCAGTACCCTTCTCTATCCCTGCTTAGGTGAGGCAGGAAGGCTAGAAGGGGCTGCAGCTGGGTGTTCTCCATCCCCTGGGTCGGCTAGGCTCTGGAAAACCATAAGGTAGTTAGCCTCCATGGTACAGCTTCCCTCCAGGGAGGGATTTTGTTAAGACACAATGTCCTGGATGTATTTCACAATGGTTACTTTTTCCCTTCCCTGAGGAAATCAGGAGAGAGCCTTTCTCTGGTGTTCTCTCTGAGCACCTGGTGGGGGCTCCCCTGGAGTTAGGCTTATGAAAGTGTGGGCCCCCTATAATGGGACCTTCCTAATGTTTATGTTTCAAGCTCATGCACACTGAGCCTCCAGCAATTTGGCAATTGCTATTTAGGTTTTCTTTCCCTGGTCCTGGCTCCAGTGGCCTCTGCTCCTGGTAAGCTATGATTGATTCGCTGTATTCACCTGCCTCTCTAAAGAGGTAGTGGTTTGTCCTGTGACCTCAATTCTCTGATAAACCTAAAAGTTGATTTTTAGTTTGTTCAACTTTTTTCTTGTAAGGACAGGAGTGACAGCTTCCAAGCTGGAAACGAGAAGTCTCATTTGGATTTTTTTTCAAGATTTTTTTTTCCTATTACAAATAATGATGACATGTGCATTCTGAAACCAGCCCAATTGGCCCATAGAACTAATATATATGGTTTTTTGAATAAACATGGAAATTGATCCTCCCTGATCTTAAAACTTCAAACTTACATTTGTCCCATCTGAGTTCCTTCCTCAAGAAACTGACCCTCAGGCAAAGAATGGAAACTCCTCAGATGGCCGCATCCAGACAACGAGATGCCAGACTCCTCGTCCATCGTGATTGCTTCCTTACCCCTTCCTAATTCCTGTTTTCCTGCCTTCCTCACTATATAAACCCCCCAATTTTAGTTGGTCAGGGAGACAGATTTGAGACTAACTTACTGTTCTTCCTGCTGCAGCACTCAATTAAAGCCTCCTTCCCTGGCAATACTCTTCTCAGTGATTGACTTTCTGTGCTGTGAGCAGCAGGTCCTAGACCAAACCCCAGATGTCCCAGTAACCATTATTGTACATGTCTTTTCTGATGCATACATTTCTGTTATCCCAGGAGTAAAATACATAGGTCCTAAATATGCTAATTTTAAAATCTAATACATGACACCTAGCACTATATACTCCTTTCAGCACTAAGAGTTATTGCTCCATATCCTCGCCAACACTTAAAATTGTCAGTCTTTTTTATTTAGCTATCCTGGAGGATGTGTGGTGGTATCCCTTTTTTTTTTTTATTTTTCTGAGACAAGAATTTCGCTCTGTCACCCAGGCTGGAGTGCAGTGGCGTGATCTTGGCTCACTGCAACCTCTACCTCCCAGGTTCAAGCTATTCTCATGCCTCAGCCTCCCCATGTAACAGGGATTACAGGTGCCTGCCACCACACCAAGCTAGTTTTTGTATTTTTAGTAGAAACGGGGTTTTGCCATGTTGGCCAGGCTGGTCTTGAACTCCTGACCTCAAGTGATCTTCCTGCCTCGGCCTCCTGAAATGTTGGGATTACAGGCATGAGCCACCGCACCTGGCCTCATTGATTTTAATTTGGTATCTTTTCACTTTTTCATTAGATATTTTTTTCTTACTGATTCATAGTGTTTACATATTCTGGATGTGAGCCCTTTGTCAGTTATATGTGTTGTATCTACTCCCACTCTGTTACTTACCTCTTCACTTCCTTAGGGGTGTCTTCTGATAAACAGGAGTTCTTTTTTCTTTTAACTTTTATTTTAGGTTCAGGGCTACATGTGCATGTTTGTTATGTTAGGTAAATTCATGACATGGGGTGTTGTCGTGCAGATTATTTTGTCACCCAGGTATTAAGCTTAGTACCCATTAGTTATTTTTCCTGATCTTCTCCCTTCTCCCATCCTCCACCCTCTGGTAGGCCCCAGTGTCTGTTGCTCTCCTCTTTGTGTGCATATGTTCTCATCGTTTAGCTCCCACTTATAAGTGAGAACATGCAGTATTTGGTTTTCTGTCCTGCATTAGTTTGCTAAGGATAATGATCTCCAGCTCCATTCATGTTCCTGCAAAAGACATGATCTAGTTCTATTTTTACGGCTGCATAGTATTCCATGGTGGATATGTACCATATTTTCTTTATCCAGTCTACCATTGATGGGCATTTAGGTTGATTCCCTGTCTTTGCTATTGTGAATAGTGTTGCAACGAACATACAAATGCATGTGTCTTTATGACAGAAAGACTTCTATTCCTTTGGGTATATACCCAGTAATGGGATTGCTGGGTTGGATGCTATTTCTGTTTTTAAGTCTTTGAAGAATTGCTACACTGTTTTCCACAATGGTTGGTCTAATTTACATACCTACCAATGGCATATAATTGTTTCCTTTTTCTCCCCAACCCTGCCAGCATTTGTTATTTTTTGACTTTTTAATAATAGTAATTTTGACTGATGTGAGATGGTATCTCATTGTGGTTTTGATTTGCATTTCTCTAATGATCAGTGATGTTGAGCTTTCTTTCATATGCCTGTTGGCCACAAGTATGTCTTCTTTTGAAAAGTATCTATTCATGTATTTCGTCCACTTTTTAATGGGGCTGTTTGGTTTTTATTTGTTAATTTAAGTTGCTTATAGATACTGGATATTAAATCTTTGTCAGATGCATAGTTTGCAAATATTTTCTCCCATTCTGTAGGTTGCCTGTTCACTCTGTTGATGTTTTCCTTTGCTGTGCAGAAGCTTTTTGGTTTAATTAGATCCCATTTGTCAATTTTTCCTGTTGTTGCAATTGCTTTTGGTGTCTTCATCATGAAATATTTGCCTGTTGCTATATACAGAATGGTATTGCCTAGGTTGTCTTCCAGGGCTTTTATAGTTTGGGGATGTTACATTTAAGTCTTTAATCCATCTTGAGTTGATTTTTTTATATGGTGTAAGGAAGGGGTCCAGTTTCAATCTTTTGCATATGGTTAGCAAGTTATCCCAGCACAATGTATGGAATAGAGAATCCTTTCCTCACTGCTTGTTTTTGTTTGCTTTGTCAAAGATCAGATGGTTGTAGGTGTGCAGCCTGCAGCCTTATTTCTGGGCTTTCTATTCTGCTCCATTGGTCTATGTATCTGTGTTTGTACCAATATACCATGCTGTTTTGGTTGCTGTAGCCCTGTAGTATAGTTGAAGTCAGGTAGCATGATACCTTCAGCTTTGTTTCTTTTTTTTCTTTTTTCTTTTTTTTTTTTTTTTTTTTTTTTTTTTTTTTTTTTTTTGCTTCAGATTGCCTTAGCTATTTGGGCTCTTTTTTGGTTCCATATGAATTTTAAAAGTTTTTTCTAGTTCTTTGAAGAATGTCATTGGTAGTTTGATAGGAATAGCAATGAATCTATAAATTGCTTTGGGCAGTATGGCCATTTTAATGATATTGATTCTTCCTATCCATGAGCATAGAATGTTGTTCCATTTGTTTGTGTCATCTCTGACTTCTTTGAGAAGCATTTTGTAGTTCTCCTTATAGAGCTCTTTCACCTCCCTGGTTAGCTGCCTTCCTAGGTATTTTTTGTGTGTGTGCCAATTGCGAATGGGATTGCATTCCTGATTTGGCTGTTGGCTTGACTGTTGTTACTGTATAGGAATGCTAGTGACTTTAGTACATGGATTTTGTATTCTGAGACTTTGTTGAAGTTGTTTATCAGCTTAAGGAGTTTTTGGGCTGAGACTATAGGGTTTTCTAGATATAGAATCATGTCATCTGCAAACAGGGACAGTTTGACTTCTCTTCCGATTTGGATGCCCTTTCTTTCTTTCTCTTGCCTGGTTGCTCTGGCTTGTTCTTCCAATACAATGTTGAATAGGAGTGGTGAGAGCGGGCATCCTTCTCTTATGCCAGTTCTCGAGGGGAATGATTCCAGCTTTTCCCCATTCAGTATGATGTTGTCTGTAGGTTTATCATGGATGGCTCTTATTATTTTGAGATATGTTCCTTCAATACCTCGTTTATTGAGTTTTTGACATGAAAGGGTATTGAATTTTATCAAAAGCCTTTTCTGCATATATTGAGATAATCATGTGGTTTTTGTCTTTAGTTCTGTTTATGAGATAAGTCACATTTATTGATTTGAGTATGTTAAATCAACCTTTTACCCCAGGGATAAACCCTACTTGATCGTGATGAATAAGCTTCTTGATGTGCTGTTGGATTTGGTTTGCCTGCATTTTGTTGAGGATTTTTGCATGGATGTTCATCAAGAATACTGGCCTTAAGCTTTATTTTTTTGTGGTGTCTCTGCCAGGTTTTGGTGTCAGAATAATGCTAGCCTCATAGAAAAAGTGAGGGAGGAGTCTCTCCTCAATTTTTTTGAATAGTTTCAGTAGGAATGATACCGCTTCTTCTTATACATCTGGTAGTATCTGGCTGTGAATCTATCTTGGACTGGCCTTTTTGTAGTCAGTAGGCTATTTATTACTGATTTAATTTCAGAGTCTGTTCAGGGATTCAATTTCTTCCTGCTTTCGTCTTGGGAGGGTATATGTGTCCAGGAATTTATCCATTTATTCTAGATTTTCTAGTTTGTATGCATAGAGGTGATAAACAGGAATTCTTAATTTGAATGTAGTCCAATTCGCCAATCTCTTTCTTTATAAGTACTGTTTTTTTTTGGTGATCTGTTTAAGAAATCTTCCTCTAACTTGATATTATAAAAATAATGTATCTTCTCTTATGTGCTATTTGTTAAACATTCATATTCTTTTTTTTTTTTTTTTTTTTTTTTTTTTTTTTGAGATGGAGTCTCTGTCTCCCAGGCTGGAGTGCAGTGGTGCAATCTTGGCTGACTGCAATCTCCACTTCCATGGTTCAAGCAATTCTTGTACCTCAGCCTTCTGAGTAACTGAGGCCACAGATACGCCACCACACTCCCCTAATTTTTGTATTTTTAGTAGAGAAAGAGTTTTGCCATGTTGGACAGGCTGGTCTCAAACTACTGGACTCAAGCAATCTGCCTGCTTCTGCCTCCCAAAGTTTTGGGATTACAGGCATGAGCCACTGTGGCCCACCTAAACATTTATTTTTAAAGTTACTTTCTGAAATTGATTGTTGTAGATGGTATATGTTCCAAGGTTTTCTTTTTTTTATATAGTTGTTCAAATGACTTTGCACCATTACTTTTTTAAATGTATTTTTTTCACTAGTCTACCATACTTTCTTTTTTCTTTTTCTTTTTTTTTTTTTTTTTTTTTTTTAGCCAGAATGTTGCTCTTATTGCCCAGGCTGGAGTGCAATGGCACGATCTTGGCTAACTGCAACCTCCACCTCCTGGGTTCAAGTGATTCTCCTGCCTCAGCCTCCCGAGTAGCTGGGATTACAGGTGCGTGCCACCACGCCTGGCTAATTTTTTGTATTTTTAGTAGAGACGGGGTTTCACCATGTTGGCCATGCTAGTCTCGAACTCCTGACCTCCGATGATCCACCCGCTTTGGCCTCCCAAAGTGCTGGGCTTACAGGCATGAGCCACCGTGCCCGGCTTACAATACTTTTTTTTTTTTTTTTTGAGACAGAGTATCACTCTGTCGCCTAGGCTGGGGTGCAGTGGCGCGATCTCGACTCACTGCAATATCTGCTTCCCGGGTTCAAGCAATTTTCCTGCCTCAGCCTTTTGAGAAGCTGGGATTGCAGGCGCCCACCACCATGCCCGTCTAATTTTTGTGTCTTTTAGTAGGGATGAGTTTTCACCATGTTGGCCAGGCTGGTCTTGAACTCCTGACCTCACGTGATCAGCCCACCTCAGCCTCTCAAAGTGCTGGGATTACAGGCATGAGCCACCGGCCAATACTTTCTTTGTCATAGATCACATACCTACATATGTGTGGCTCTGTTTTTGGACTTTGATTTTTCCATTGCTCTCTTTTCTATTCTTGTTTCAATGTTACTGTGTTAATTCTTGTGGCTTTATATTAAGTCTTAGTTTCTCTCGAGTGCTTTATTTTTTAGTTCTTTAAGGATGTCTTGGCTTTTCTTGGCCTTTTGCGTCTTGCATAAATTTTAGAATCAGGTTGCTAATTTGCTGAGAGTAGCAAGAAGGAGTGCCCCATTCATGGCCTTGTACTTTGAGGATTTTAATGGGTTGCAAGGAACTCATTTTGTGAGCAGCGATGAATCTGCTTCAGATAAAGTAAATCAGAGCTGGAGGTAGGGCAGGGTTCTTCATGCTAGCCTGGGGCTGCATAACTCAATGAACACTGGCTGAGGCAACAATGGGTCTTTTGTGATGAAACTGGTACCTACTCAGGCTATGGGGCCTGAGGTTTCATCATACATCATTGGGTTTATTAAAGCTTAAAAGTGATCTAATAATTAACATGCCAGCTACTAGTTATTTGTTGAGTTTTTTTCCTTTTTAGTCAGGGAAAATGAGAGTGAGGGAAAAGGAAAAGGAAGCAACCCTAAGGGGCAACAAGACCATTAATTATTACAAATATCAATAGGACACAAATGACCCTTTGTCTCTCAGGCTGGAGTGCGGTGGCGCGATCACAGCTCACTGCAGCCTCGACTTCCCAGTCTCAAATGATCCTCCTACCTCAGCCTCCTGAGTAGCTGGGACCACAGGTGCACATCATTATGCCCTACCAATTTTTAAATTTGTTATAGAGATGAGGTCTCCCTATGTTTGCCAGGCTGGTCTTGAACTCCTGGCCTCAAGTGATCTCCTGCCTTGGCCTCCCAAAGTGCTGAGATTACAGGCATGAGCCACTACACCTGACCCAAATGGGTAATTTAGTTGCATAAGGTCTTTCCTTCATAATCTAATTAGAAAACTTTGGGGCAGGACTCCAAGGCTTACTTTTGACCCTCATTCCACTCCTGCCCTACTCTTCATTGTTCTAAAAAATGGAAAAACAGGTTGATTACATATACTATTTAAGTTCCATGAAAGCAAGAAATGTGTCTATCTGGTTCACTGATGTATCTCCAGGGCTTAGAACAGTGCCCGGTGCATAGTTGATTCTCAATAAATATCAATGGAATAAATAAAATGTTCCACATTGCCTTGCTTCAAACTTCTAAAAAAATTAATAATAGCTTCTAACTAACCGCGACTTCTGGTAAACTTCATACCAGTTGCCCTTGTGTTACGTATTTGTTTTTAAAACAGCAATTCATTTATCTAGGTTTATGAAAAAATGAAAATAAACACTATGTTGTGGGGGCCCACTTGTTCAGTGTCCAGTGATATCAAACAACCTTAAATTCTAACCATAAATTATTTTGATAATATGTGTAAACATTCTGTTAGCCAAATGTGTCTATTAATCCAGGCTTTGCAGGCTTAACCCAAACAATTTGAGCAGGTGAAAGAAACAAGCCAACTAGACAGACTTCTCAATACTGAGGCAAGGACATGCTTCAGAGACGTAGATCACAGGGTTGAAGGGCACCCTCCTAGGAAACACCTCCCACCCCACCTTTTCAGGCATCAGTTTCTGCCTCTGTTGATTCAGAGAAGAGTTCCCAGTGGTGTGACTCAGACAGGCCCTCTGAGAAAGTAGACTGTGCCTTCTCACTGTCCAGGCTCCAGGAGGAGGTGCTGGGCCCAAGGGCAGCCCATTTAGAGCTGAGACCCTATCTCAGAAGAGGAACTGATGTGAGATCTCAACTCAGCAAGAAGGAGGGTGACTATCTGAAGCAATGGGATGCTTTCTTTGTGGGAATTTGAATTTGAGATAAAGGGGATGAGAGTTTGCCACTCCATAAGATGCCGCTTTGGCATAAACATTGCTTTGCCGAAGGAAATCAAGAAACAGCAGACACAAGATGAGCTCTCTACCTGCCCCCTTTCTGCCTAAAAGCAGAACATAAATTCCCTTTGTGAAGATATTCCCCTTGTCCTCTCCCATGTCAGGAAGAGATGATGCTTACCAGACACCAATCTGAATCTGCATAAGCAAACCTTATTAAAATAACACTTACTTCCCATAATTTCCCCCATATATTTACCTTCCCACGGTTTACTGCTCCTAGAAGCGCAAGCACTTTCATTTATTCACTTCTCCACAAATTTACTGTCCTTTGTTAACATGGTATATAAGCTCTCAGCCCTAACCACTTTTTTGGGTTTTCACTTCCTTTTGTGTGAGACCTTCCTGTGCACATGTAAAAATTAAAATACTAACATCACATATAATTTGTGTGCCTTTTCTCCTGTTAACCTATCTTTTGTCAGTTTAATCTGCAGAGTCCCAAACACTGAACCTAAGAGCATATAGGAAAAAGTTTTTCCCCTGCAGAGACCTGTAGAAGTCCCTGTTGATGCTTGTTAGCGTGGGCAGAAGTGTAAGACAAGGGAGAGAGTAGTGGTCGAAGTAATGAGTCAGGACAAGCCCTGGCAAAAAAGGCTGCACTTGCTGGGTTTCCACAGCAGCAGCCTCAGCTCCAGAAGTGGCAAACTCCTGCCGACACGGAGACAGCTAGTTAGTGATTCACGGAGCTGCTATCAGAAAGCCAAGCCCAGCGCTGTCTGTGAATGACCTTCCTTTTAGGCCCCACTTAGCCTGGTGAGGCTGTTTCTGCTCTTTCCCCTCTGAAATGGTTTGGCGGTGTCCCCACCCAAATCTCATCTGGAATTGTAGCTCCTATAATTCAAGATTATGTGGGAGAGGCCCAGTGGGAAATAATTGAATCATGGGGGCAGTTTCCCCCATACTGCTCTCATGGTAGTGAGTAAGTCCTACAAGATCTGGTTTTATAAGGGGAAACCCCTTTTGCTTGGCTCTGGTATTCTCTTGCTGCTGCCATGTAAGAAGTGCCTGTCACCTTCCACCATAATTGTGAGGCCTCCCCAGCCATGTGGAACTGTGAGTCCATTAAACCTCTTTTTCTCTATAAATTACCCAGTCTCGGGTATGTCTTTATCAGCAGTGTGAAAATGGACTAATATACCTTCCTACCTCCTTAGCTAACTTGGAAAAACCTTATTAATACCTGCATACATTAAGATCTCTCTGGCTCCAATATTCTATAATTAGACTGAGCAGGGTAAAAACTCATTAATTCAGACTGCTTTATCCACATTTCTAGTTATTTCATTTAGACTAAGCTGAAGTTTAATTTTGCTCAGCAAAAGAGGAATTGTTTAAAATGTTTAAGGGAACAAGCTGTTAATTTTATATATTAATTTCAAATGATTTTATCTACTTATTAAAAACTTATAACTCGGAAAGCCTCAATTCAGTAGCATGAATAAATATTGTTAACTTTTAGACATTTTTTCAACACATATTTACTGATCCTTTCTATGGGCCAGGCTTTGTGCTAAGTACCGGAACATAAAAACATGGAATTGATCAAATAGGCATGATACTGTACATTAATTTAAATAATAAAATAACAGTGTAACATAGGATATTATCTTACAGTGTTGGTTTTTGCTAGCTCCCAATACATGTCTATATGTGCACACATATACAAATATACATATATACACATATGTGTGTATAGATAGAAAGAAAAGAAAGGGCCTGCCCTGAAGCAGCTCAGAGGCTGGTGGGGGAGGCGGAGGAGTGTGTGACCGATCCCGCTGCTGCGATGCGCGCTGAGCCAGAGGTGTGTGCAGGGCATGTCACCTGGCGCTGAAGAAAAGATTCCCAGCCGCCCTAGGGGAGGGTCCAGAGAGACTTCCTGGGCATCACTGGGGCTGAGGCTTAAAGGATGGATCTGGGTGACTAGATGGAGAGGAGAGGGCACCCCAGGAAAAGCATCTTCAGGCAACTACAGAGAGTTCAATGGGACTGGAGCCCCCAGGGCAGGGATAGAGGGAAGCACAGCTGATTCTTGTGATTCGAGGTAGGTAGTTATGTTCTGTGAATGTGCCTCAAACCCAGAACTAATGAATACTGAACTATTTCTCCTGGGGAAAGCACAGGTTAGGTTCTGTGAGCGTCTGGTCACAACGTTTTCATGAGCTGAAACACCATTTGTGTTACATACGTTTGTTTATCAACATCCTAGTAGAACACACAGGTCTCATCAGCATTGAGAACCTCCCCTACCACATAACCCTTTTCCTGTATAGCACTCAGAAGGCGTTTTTACAATTCTCCCACAGCCTCCTGATCTGCAGAACCCGCCTCGCCTGCAGGTTTAACCTTTTTCACGTTGTATCACCTTCTGGAACATGCGAGCCAGTCAGCGCTAGCTGAGAAGGGCTTGACATTTTCCTGACTTTGGCTTTCAGCCTCACAACACTTTTTTGTTTTAATCACACATTGTCTCACAAATCCACAAATTTAGCCGCTTTTCCATTTTTCCCACAGTTTTGTCACCTACTATAGATGCTACTTTAGCACTTTCTGGTGGGAAGAGGTGATTTGCCTCAATGTACCTGGCTGTTGCTTCATTAACACTGAACTTAATGCCAAAAGCACAGCAACTTACGCTGAAGGCACCTCATCCAGCACAGGTACTGTCTCCACAGGCACATCGCAGCCTCCTGCACTCAGAGACAGTAGACAGCACTTCAGCACCGTGCCTGGGGGCATTTTAAACAGCAAAATCACCAACAAAAGTACAAAAATGCAAAAGCGTGGCTCTATACAGGGTGCAGAATGGACATTTGTTTACGGTTTGAGAGCTGGAACAAGGCGGCAGAGCATCGTCCTATACAGCCTCAGCTGAGATTTTGCACATCGAGTAATTCAAATGTTTCACCACTCTGCATGTCTGCAAATGACCACAAAAGTGCTGCGAGTGCTGAGTTGGGGGTGTTGTTTTGGAAACTCTCGGGTGGGCCTAGTTAACTAGCTCCTCCAGGGGGGACTTTTCCCTTTCCATCTGATGATGTTAAAGATGAGTATTCAGAAACATCAGCTGCTCAGTTTATTCTCACAGCACTCTTCTTCTAAGACGGATAGCAGGACAGGCTGGTGGCACGGGCTGGACACAGTCAGGGGTTGGATAACCACCTGACCAGGAGGGTCCCCATCTAGAGACCATTCTCAGAGTTTGGAGGATTCATCTCCTTTCTTATACCTGTATTCAGTCTGGGTCAGTCACCAGGTATTTCTTTCACAGAGTTTAAGCTATTCCTCTAAGTGTCAGATTCGTTGTAAGATTTATGAGAGTTGCATCTGTGCTGAGGTGATCTCATCCCCTGGAAATCTAGGGCCAAGACTGGAAACGCCAGGGCCAGGCTGCATCACACTGCTATGTGACACATAGTGTCAACCCTGTGAAGTGTCTGAGTGGGCCTATGGCTATCATTGGCCATACAGTCACAATATGTCCTTACAGTATCTTAAATGGAGTTATAAAAAGTCTTTAGTGGATAGTTGATTTCAAAAATATGGAATCCATGAATAATGAGGGTTAACTATATTTGCAAATCATTTATCTGAAAAGGAATGTATCCAGAACACAGAAATAACTCTTACAAGATCAATAAGAAGATAAATAACCTCATTTTTTAAATTTCGCAAAAGATTTGAACAGACACATTACCAAAGATAATATTTGAATGGCAAATAAGATGCTCAAAATCAATAGGGAAATGCAAATGAAAACCACAACAAGATAGGACTACATACTCAATAAAGTGGCTAAAATTAATTCAACTGACAACGTCAAGTATTTTTGAGGCTGTAGAACCCCTGGAAGCCTCACACATGCCGGTGGAAATTTAAAATGGTAAATGGTACAGCCACTCTGCAAAACAGTTTGCAATTTCTTACAAAACTAAACATAAACCTATTATGTGACTCAGAAACACTCCTAGGAATTTACATGAGAGAAATGAACACATGTAACCACACAATGACTTGTATATCAACGTTCATAGCAGCTTTATTCAAATAGCCAAAACTTGGAAATGAATGTTCTTCAACTGGCAAATGGGTAAACAAATTGTATATATTCATACAATGGAATACTACTCAGCAGTAAAAGGAGAAAACTGCTGATACACGCAGCAATGCGTGATGCATGATGAATCTCAGAAGCATTATGCTAAGTGATGGCAGCCAGACACAAAAGATTACATATGCCATGATCTCACTTTATGAAACTGTACAAAAATCAAAACTAAAATAACATAAAGTAGATCAGTGATTGCCAGAGGCCAGGGAGTGGAGGAAGAGAATGAGGGCAAAGCAGCAGAAGGAAATTTTCCGAGGTAGTGGGAAATACTCTATGTGTTGATTATGGCTGTGGCTACCCGACCATGTACATTTGCCAAATAGCACAAATTGTATGGCTTAAAACGTAACACCTCAATTGAGATGCTTAAAAACCAAAAATATTATGATGAGCAAAAGAAACCAAAATCAATACTAAAGCAAAACAAACAAAACAAAAAGACTTAAGCCTATAAAGCTTTATAGATTTATAAGAGAAAAACAAACAGCCACCCAATTTTGGAAGCTGGAAAGCAGATGGGCAAGTGGTAACTGACTTAGCAGACCTAAGAAAGCCATTCCCAAGTCAGCTCCAAGATAAACTGGAAAACAGCTTGATTCGCATTGCCTGAAGGATCAGATACTGGCAGATCCAGGCATCTCTTGTAGGGGTAAAAATGGGGCCCAAAACAGGAAGACTGGCACGAAGTCTATTTGAGAAGCAGTTTAACACCCAGATGTAGGGTTGCCAGATAATATAGGATACCCAGTTAAATCTGAATTTCAGATAAGGAATGAATAATTTTCTGAGTATAAGTGTGTCGCAAATATTGCATGAGGCACACTTATGTTAAACAATTACTTGTTATCTGAAATTTAAATGTAAGTGGGTGCCTGCATTTTGATTTGCTAAGTCTGTCGACTCTGCTCAGATGGCCTCTCCTACTTTGACAGAAGTGTGGAGATAATAAAACAGTGTTGTACAAGCACAGTTGAGTTTGAAGATACTGGATGGAAAACAAGAGGAATGATGGGAAGTTTCTCTAATTGATGTCTAGACCTTCAACAACTTCCCAGAGAACTGAGAGCGAGGCCTATTATCTCCAGGTTGAAGTCTGGAAGATTCTTCCCTGGGGAAGATGACCAGCTCAAGGCAAAAGACCTACAAATATTGACTTTGGAAGTTCTCCAATAAAATGACTCTATTAGGCCACCCTGCAGTGAAGACCATAGTTGACAAACTTCCCACGCACACAGAATTGTCAATCAGCTTCACAGGCTCCACTCTTACAAAGGAAGATAGCCTGGAGCACCAGATGTGTGAGCAGCCAATATGAAAGGCGCACACACACACACACACACACACATACACACAGGAAACAAAGACAGAGTGAGAAGAAGAAAGTCTCATTATTAGAGTTACAAGATAATCATGAGAGAATTTCCCAGAAAGTAGAGCCAAAAGATAAAGAGATAGAAAATAGGAAATGAAGAATAAGAAAATGAATGGCCCAATACACAGGTCAACCTCCAATCGTAGAGTCCCAGAAGAGGTGGATGTGAGAAAAATCGATGGGAGGAAATTTTTAACTGAGTGCCCAACTATAAATTCTCTTTCTATGTCTGAAGGAAAGAAAGCAGACTGGGATCAACTGACCATCTTGGCACAGTGATAAGTGCACATGTTAAGAAAATTAGTCTGGGAATAGTGTGTAGAATGGAATTGGACAGGAAAGGCTTAGCACACTGTGACAATTAGTATTTGCTGAATGCGAAGACAACTGTTAAGCTTGTGGAAATAGGAGGTACAATACAATCATAACGGATACAGGTGTGAAGAGATGAAGATCTGGACTGGGGGTAAGCATAAAAATGGACAGGACTGGAAAAATCCTACAGGAAATTGAAAAACAAAATGATACTTCTTAGTGAACACAGAGAGTAAGAAGAATCAGAGGTCTTGTAGCCTGGCAGACAGCAGAGTCATGGAACTCCTGGAAATGGGGTTTGCAGCAGGGGCCGGAGAGGGCTGCCTTCTCAAAGCAATGATGATGAGTTCAATCTTGGATGTTCTGAGTTAATTGAAGGGAAAAAGGTCTGGCAGTGATTGAGTCACTCTTCAAATAGCGAACATGTAAAGCAGTCATGGAGGAGTGCTGATTCTTTCAAAGAAAAGAACATTCTCGAGTTATTTTTAATGGATAAAAATTACCTTTGAGCAAATGTAATGTGTTAATATAGATTAGGGCCATATCAGACAGATAAAGGAGAGAACAATTAACTTCAAAAGCAAAGCTAGACTTAGTGCCTGTACACTCAGGTAGGAAACGCTAAACTGCAATTTGTTCTGAGCTGAGACTATCAATATATTCAGCTTTAGCTGGTTGGGTGGTTATGGCAGCATTAGGGACCATTTCAAAGGCAGGAGTCATCCTGGAGAGCACACACCATACCTCAAGCTGTTTTGAGATACTGTTCAGGTTGGTGTGTGGCCACAGTGGGAAGGGAGTAGAGCTCTGCAACACAGGGGGTCTATAAATAAATCCAGAAAGTGAGATTCATTTGTCTGCGTCATTTCAGATGATCCCTCAGCCCACCCCAGGGGTAGAGGAGTTCAGAATTTCAGATGTGGGTGGGCTTCTACATGTCAGTGTGACCCTGATGGCACTGGGGGTCTGTTCTTTTTTGCCTAGTTGGTGTTTGGTGTTTGCTATGGTCTGAATGTCTGTGTTCCCCTGCAATTCTAATGTTGAAATCCTAACCCCTAACATGATTATATACAGAGGATAATCCCCTTTTTTCTTCCTTTTTTTTTTTTGGAGATGGAGTCTTGCTCTGTCACTAAAGTTGGAGTGCAGTGGCGCAATCTTGGCTCACTGCAACCTCCGACTCTTGGGTTCAAGCAATTCTCCTGCTTCAGCCTCCAGAGTAGCTGGAACTACAGGCACGCGCCACCATGCCTGTTTAATTTTTGTATGTATTAGTAGAGATGGGTTTCACCATGTTGCCCAGGGTGGTCTTGAACTCCTGACCCCAGGCAATCTGCCTGCCTTAGCCTCCCAAAGTGCTAAGATTACAGGTGTGATCCACCACACCTGGCCAATCCCTTTCTTTTGAGAGGTGATTAGATTATGAGGGCAGAGGCTTCATCAATGGGATTAGTGCTCTTACAAAATAGACCAAGGAAGCTCATTTGCCCTTCCACCATGTGAAGACACAGCTAGAAGGTGTGTCCACTATTGTTATAAGTAGATAGATAGGCATGAGCGGGAAAGGAGAGGGCTCTCCCCCGCAACCCACTAGGAATGCTGCGTGATGGTTCGACAATCATTGCATTGCCTCTTTAAAAACAATAATTGGGCAGCGCCAGGGGGAGGTCATTTCCTGATGATTCACACATGTTAACAAAAAAAAATGTTAACTGAATGCAGACCCCAGGGAGAAGCAACTTCCTGGGCATGCACATTAAGACATAAAAATGGCAAAGTACGATGTTCCAGGTACGTGCCATCAGAAAAAGGAAGAAAGCCTCAGATGGGCAAGCGTCTAACTCCCTAAACGTGCTCCCTAATCAGCTTCTAGGAAGAGCAGAAGAGCTGTGGTAATGAATGCAACACGTTATTGACGATACACATGTTGATTCCAAGGAAATGCTGGGTAAGCATGACTCAGAGTCATTGCTGGGCACCTAAACTGTGCATACTCAGTTCCTAAGGGTAAGGAGGGCACTGCACGTGCAGAAAGCCCAGCCTAAGGGAAGAATCATGGGAAAGAGGCCAGCCTATAAACTCCTAGGATCAAGGTTCAAGGCTCTGCTTTTTTCTCTCTTTGACCTTCAGGCGCCCACTTGGATCTCTTCCAAGGGTTCTTTCCTTTCTTTCCCGTTCTAAAGCCTTTTTAATAAACCTCCATTCCTGCTCTGAAACTTGCCTCAGTCTCTTTTTCTGCTTTATCCCCCTCAGTTGAATTCATTCTTCTGAGGAGGCCAGGGCTGAAGTTGCTGCAGATGCCTATGGATTCGCCACCAGTAACTCGGGGTAACTTGGTCTCTTCTACCAGTAACACTATGAACCGGAAAATGGCCCTCATCAGACACCAAATCTGCCAGAGCCTCATCTTGGACTTTCCAGGCTCTGGAACCGTGAGAAGTAAATTTCTGTTGTTTATAAATTACCCAGTCTACGCTGTTTTGTTATAGCAGCCAGAAAAGACTAAGACAGTGTTAATTCTATTTTCTTTTGGTTTCGTAACTTTACAAGAACAGACTGAGAGAAGATTAATTTAGAAAACATCTCAATATCTATGTCGAGCCTTGATAGGTACTATATTCACACAGGGTTTCAGAGTTAAGTTTCTGATATGGTTTGGATCTGTGTCCCTAAACAAATCTCACACCAAATTGTAATCCCTGGTGTTGGGAGGTGAGGCCTGGTAGAAGGTGACTGGATAATGGGGGCACAGTTCTCATGAATGGTGTAGCACCATCCTGCCTTGGTACTGGGTAGTGAGTGAGTTCTCACAAGATCTGGTTGTTTAAAAATATGTGGCACCTCCCCACTCGCTCTCTCTTGCTCCTGCTCCAGCCATGTAAGATGAGCCTGCTTCCTCTTCCGCCATGATTGTAAGATTCCTGAGGCTTCCCTAGAAGTAGAAGCTGCCTTATGTGCCTATGCCTCCTGGACAGGCTGCAGAACCATGAGTCGATTAAACTTCCTTTTTTTTTTTTTTTTTTTTTTTGAGGCAGAGTCTTGCTCTGTTGCCAGGCCAGAATGCTGTGGCGCAATTTCGGCTCATTGCAACCTCCACCTCGCGGGTTCAAACAATTCTCCTGCCTCAGCCTCCCGAGTAGCTGGCACTGCAGGTCCCTGCCACCATGCCCGGCTAATTTTTTGTATTTTTAGTAGAAACAGAGTTTCACTGTGTTAGCCAGGATGGTCTCGATCTCCTGACCTCGTGATCTGCCTGCCTCGGCCTCCCAAAGTGCTGGGATTACAGGTGTGAGCCACCGCGCCCGGCTGAGAAATTTTAATGGTACATGTGTTGCCTCATAATCAGTCAGGAAAAGAACTTAAGTTCAATCCTCTCAACCTACATCATGAGCTAAATAGAACATTGTCGGCTGGATGCAGTGGCTCATTCTGGTAATTCCAGCCTTTTGGGAGGCTGAGGCGGGTGGATCACCTGAGGTCAGGAGTTTGAGACCAGCCTGGCCAACATGGTAAAACCTTGTCTCTACTAAACATACAAAAATTAGCCGGGCGTGGTGGCAGGCTCCTATAATCCCAGCTTCTCAGGAGACTGAGGCAGGAGAATCGCTTGAACATGGAAGGCAGAGGTTGCAGTGAGCCGAGATCAAGCGATTACACTTCTGGCTGAGTGACACAGTGAGACTGCGTCTCAGAAATGACAAATAAATTAAAAATAATAATAATAAAGAGCACATTGCCAAAAGGTCTAAACTCTTCTAGAAGGGCATCATTTGTTACGTCCTTTTTCACAGTTTGCAGTAAATTTTCGTGGTTTGGAGTGAATTAAAAATTGATCCCTCATGATAGGCTCTATAGCAGATTCTACTACAAAGGCTATGTTTACATGACAGACTTTAAATTCTCTTGTGAAAGTGATGCTAAATAATAGAATTGCTCTAGATTGCTTACTGACTAAACAAAGAAGTATCTATACAGCTGCTGGCATTTCTTGTTGTCTAAGAAGAAATACAACACATCAGGTATTACAGAGATTCAGTTGCAGAGGATTAACGAAGAGAATGCTTAAAGCGAGTAGACCATCTAGCTCATTCTTTGATCTGTTTGATTTTAGGTGGTTTGGTTTATGGGGACCTTAGCTAAGGAGCATACGCCAAACTCTTGGTATTATCCTCTGGATAGTCAAAATAGTAGTCTCCCTGGTGTGCTGTATTCCCTCAAAAGTTTTAAAAGTTTGCATGCCGCCATCTCTAGAATGTCAAGCAGTCTCTCTTCAACCGGAATATCAAGAGCTAAAAGAAATGTGTGACCCTGAGGGCACCCTAACCTATGAATGACGTGCTGAGACCAGAAACCCAAAATAATAATAATGGAGAGAGGCACTGAGGCCCTAAGTTTTGGTCACACTCTCACCTAAGTGAGAACCTGACCAAACAAAGGGAATTTTTAAACAAAGTTAAGGGAGGCCATTGTTTTGGATTAAGCTCACGCACTAGGCCTCAGCAGACCTGACCAAACCAAAATGGAGTCAATTGTGCTAAACGCCACATAATCACACTAAGACTTTAAGGAAACACATAAATCCTAGAATAGACCAAGTTTTGTTTTTTTTCTCCTGTGAATAGGCCATTGCAGCACACAGAGGTACCCTCTACTCTAACCCTTACCAAAAAAAAAAAAAAAAAAGTGACCTGAAGTCCTCTTTCCCATTTTACAAAATCCACTGTTAAACTATTTCCCAGTGGGTTTCAAGAGCAAATATGTACATTTATGATGGTAATAGTGCCATCAGTGACTAAAGTTTTGGTCATCTTCTCAATTTTGACCAAATTTTGAGAGAATGATCAAAAAGGGGGAATTGTTAAAACAAGTCTAGCCTAAAGCTGCCTTCTTACATATTTTAAGTTAAGCCTAAAGGTTTCTCTGAACCTAAAGGTACATCATGAACTATAGCCTGAAGGTACATCATGAACTATAACCTAAATGGAGGTGTAAACAAACTGTAACCTTCTCTTGTGCCAAACACCGAGTTTTGGCCAATCAAAGATGGCCAACTGTTCAAACCATGTTCAAATAAGACAAACGCCAAGCTATAACCGATCTGCCTGTTTCTGTACCTCATTTCCATTTTCTGTACACCACTTTCCTTTTTCTGTCCATAAATCTTCTTCCACCACATGGCTGCACTGGAGTCTCAGAGCCTACTCTTTCTCAGGAGGCTCCCCAATTTGTAAATCGTTCTTCACCCAGTTAAACTCTGTTAAATTTAATTCGCCTGAAGTTCTTCTTTGAACATTATTACACTTGTCTTTAAGTCTTTTCTTAATTGCTTTTATGAAAGGAAAATAAAAACCTGGGGCCCCAATTCACTCTGCCAAAAAAAAAAAAATTAATTGAAAGCTGAGTCATGGAAGAAGCTACCTTTCCTTTTCTTCCTAAGCAGATAGCTACAGATAAAAGATGAAATATCTCCACAGGTTTCTTAGTGGTGGCAAAACCTACTGGGTCAATAGCAACCTTAATTCTTGCCTCCTCAGAAGAAAGAATTTGGCTGAGGGGCATAAGGCAAAGTGAAAGATCGAGGCAAGTTTTAGAGCAGGAGTGAAAGTTTATTTAAAAGCTTTAGAGCAGGCCGGGTGTGGTGGCTCACGTCTGTAATCCCAGCACTTTGGGATGCTGAGACAGGTGGCTCACCTGAGGTCAGGAGTTCGAGACCATCCTGGCCAACATGGTGAAACCCCATCTCTACTAAAAATACAAAAATTAGCCAGGTGTGGTGGTGTGTGCCTGTAGTCCCAGCTACTTGGGAGGCTGAGACACAAGAATCGCTTGAACCTGGGTGGCAGAGGTTGCAGTGAGCCGAGATCACGCCACTGCGCTCCAGCCTGGATGATGGAGCAAGACTCCATTTCAAAAAAATAAATAAAATAAAAGCTTTAGAGCAGGAATGAAAGGAATTAAAGTACACTTGGAAAAGGGCCTAGTGGGTGACTTGAGGGATCAAGTGTGTAGTCTGACGTTTGACTTAGGGTCTTATAGGTTGGCATGCTTCCGGGACTGCATTACTTCTCCCTGATCCTTTCCTTGGGGTGGGCTGTCCACATGTACAGTGGTCTGCTAGGCCTTGGCGGGGGCGGGGGACACACGCACAGTGTGTTTACTGAAGTTGTATGCATGCTCTTGAGGTGTCCTTCCCTTACCAGTCAAGCGTTCCTAGAGGAAGGTCATGCACCAGTTAAACATCACCATTTTGCCTTTTAGTGTGCATGTGTGAGCCCACTCGCCCAACTCCCGAGATCTGATCAGGAAGCTGCTCATCACCAGTTTCAGGTGTTTTCTGTCTATTGGGAGGCTGCCTTTCCCTGGCGCTGGCTGCAACCAATTATTATTTTAAAGAAACAGTGTAACAACCCCCTGACCATCACCTGATGGTCACCTGACATTCCTGGTGGTGGTGGTGGTGGTGGGGCTTCTCCTGCCCTGCTCATGTCTAACTAGCTCCCTACTGTAACATTTTGATAGATTATATTAAGAGGTTCATTAGCTACTGAGGCATTTCCCTGCCTCTCCATCTCTAGAACTCACAATGTCTGCTTTATGTTGAGAGCAAGGCCATCATTGTCAGTTGCTCAACCAAAACAGAAACTGGCTAACCTGCTCTTAAGTGAAGTTCCCTAATGAATCGATCACCGCAATGATTGCCCCTGGGACCGCTTCTCACACCTTTTATTCCCCGAGGACATGCCCCCCACTTTCACAGAAGGTCTCTCCCCCACCTATTTTGGATAAAGTTCCCTCTAGACTCATTACTCTATACATGCGAGCCTGTTTGCTTTCCCTCTTTCAGGAATTTCTTAGTTTCTAGCAAGCTGATGGCACTCTTTCTCACTTTCCAGTGCACTGATAGGTTATTAAAGTATAACTTTTTTTCTTCAGCCATTCCAAGAAATTTTGGTTGATAAGGAAGGTAGATATCATCATTTGTAAATTCCCTTACTTATATAGAAAACAATTTAGAATGTTGTAGATCCTTGGGATCACCACTAAGAATATCGATTATAGAGACGGGTGCACTCTGCAGTAAATCAGGTGGTGCCATTATGAAGTTCTGTTAAAAATAACAAGTTCCACAAAACCAAACACTGCGTGTTCTCACTTATAAGTGGGAGCTGAATGATGCGAACACATAGACACATCGAGGGAACAACACACACTGGGGCCTGTCAAAGGGTTGGAGGTAGGAGGAGGGAGAGCACTAAGAAGAATAGCTGATGAGTGCTGGGCTTAATACCTAGGTAACGGGATGATCTGTGCAGCAAACCGCCATGGCACATGTTTACCTGTATAACAAACCTGCACATCCTCCACATGTACCCCTGAACTTAAAATAAAAGTTGGAAAAACAAGTTTCATAGGAGCTGTACTGGCATTTGTTTTTAATGGACAAGGTTTCTTTGTATCATTTGACTTTAATATTTTCCAGGATAAATCTATCTATTCCCTGTCAACATGCTACAGAATATAGATAGTCACCAACTTACGACGTTTGACTTATGATTTTTTTCACTTTATGATGGGTTTATCGGGGTATTAAATGCAGGTTTTTTGTTTGTTTTTTTCTCACTTTTAAAAACGTTTTTCTTAATGCAGTTTTGACTTACCATATTTCAACTTACGGTAGATTTCTTGGGACAAACGCCATAGTAAGCTGTTGAAGCATATGGGCTGACAACAAAGAATTTGTCCAAATGTTAAGCAGATTTCATTTATCTTTTGAGAGAGAGAAAACAAAACAAAACAAAACTCATTCTAACTGCATTAGCCACACACATATTATAGTATTTTGTGTCATCAAGAATATAATCCAATGTCTTAAAACATGTGCAATATAACAAATTTACCTTTTCTCATATGGTACCTAAAGCATTTTGTCTTCTAATTAGCATAAATTAATACCTGTTGACTTAGGGTAGCCATATAATTTATCATCCAAATGAGAACACTCTGAGAATAAAAGTAGGTGCTATTGATAATCACTCTTAGAATACAGCCATAAACCAGGACGGTGTCAGACAAACCAGGACGTGTGGTCACCCTAAACATGACCCAGCACCTTTGAAACACCTGATAAGAACAGTCTAATGTGTATGTTACATGCTTATTTCTCCCTCTGCTCTTTCCACCAGTGTAATTAGATAGATTAATGAAGAGCAAACATTTTGCACAGGGTCAAGTCAGAAAACATGAAAATTTCCTTCCACTTAGTAGTCTTATCGAATCTCATGCGGGGTAGGGGGATACTTTTACAATTGGAATTATCTATTTAAATAAAAGAATGTCAAATGTGAAAGTTGGCACTATCTTTTTAGCCAGATTTGAGGACTGTATCCTGGAGGCAGCTTTCTTGTTTTCCATTGCTTTCTATTCATACAAGAGTTTAGAGTTCTTGTGCATTATCTCATTGCTTCCTTGAAATAAATTAATCAAGGTAAGTGTTATGACATTTCCAATCTACTGAACAGGAAAAACAATAAGCAGAGAAGTCAGACTTTTTATAATTCGATGGAAAAACATACTTGATTGCTGTGCATGTTTTTACTTACCTAATTTTTTAGTAAAATAAATTTTTATGTCAATTGGTTCTTTGTATTTTGTGAATTGCCTATTAATGTCCTTTCCCATGTGTGTGTTAATTTTTCCTATACTTTTCTCTGATGTTTAATTTTTTTATCCGAGTAAGAAATATATCTAATTTCAAAAGCCCAATAGTACTCTAATGACTGTAAGAAAAATATCAATCCCTGTTTTACTCTTCCTTTCCCAACTCCATTTTCACTTCCTAGAGGCAACCCTTTCAGCATTTTTAGCTGTTTCTTTTTTTTTCTTTTCTTTTCTTTTCTTTTTTTTGAGACAGAGTTCGCTCTGTCACCCAGGCTGGAGTGTAGTGGTGCGATCTCAGCTCACTGCAACCTCCGCCTTCCGGGTTCAAGTGATTCTCCCGCCTCAGTCTCCCAAGTAGCTGGGATTACAGGCTCCTGCCACCACGCGTAATTTTTTGTATTTTTAGTAGAGATGGGGTTTCACCATGTTGGCCAGGCTGGTCTCGAACTCCTGACATCAGGTGATCCACCTGCCTCGGCCTCCCAAAGTGCTGGGATTACAGGCATAAGCCACCATGCCTGGCCATTTTTAGCTGTTTCTTCTGAAATTTATCTCCATATTTCTAACTAATATTCTTTAATTTCCATTTCTTGCTTATTTTAAATATTATATGCTGACTTCTGATGAAGCATAAGAATTTAGTACTCTTATAAAACATCACACACCTTACCTACATACAAGAACTCTTCTAGTACAGTTGTATCCCAATTCTTGATTAAATTGAAATCTAATACTTATATTGTTATGACTATATAAACACTGAGGACTATGCTCTGACTTTTTTTATCTTGCCCAAATTCCTATCTAAGGGGTCTGGGGAGTCATGCCCTACAAACCATAAATTCTCATCAGTGGGGTTTATTTAACTCCATATATATACCATGACTTACTTTCCAACCTGACTCTGGCATAACATTAGGAGACAAGAAAGAAAATAAAAATATTTTACCCCAAAACATGTTTCTTTGCCATATCTCAAAATGGCCCTACAAAGCTGTCCTTCCTGAGGGAAAATCTGCATCTGTAAAGAATCTCCGTGGGCACAGTGGCTCATGCCTATGATCCCAGCCCTGTGGGAGGTGGAGGCGGGTGGATCACCTGAGGTCAGGAATTTGAGACCAGCCTGGCCAACATGGTGAAAGCCCGTCTCTACTAAAAATACAAAAATTAGCCAGGCATAGTGGTGCATGTCTGTAATCCCAGCTACTCAGGAGGCTGAGGCAAGAGGATCACTTGAACCCAGAAGGTGGAGGTTGCAGTGAGCCAAGATCAAGCCATTGCACTCTAGCCTGGGCGACAGCAGCGAAACTGTGTCTAAAAAAAAAAAAAAAAAAAAAAAAGAAAGAAAAGAAAAAAATAGCACCTTTTAAAGATCTGGATAGGAAACATTTGCCATCTATTGTCTCTAAGGGCAGCCACTATAAGACTTCAAAAGAACCTTAGTCTCCAAAGTCTTATCTTAACCTGGACATTTCCTTTCTACGGATCCCAGGTCTTTAACAAACTCAGCCAATTGTCAACCAGAAAATGTTTAAATTTAACTATAGCCTGGACACCCCCACTCCAGCTTTGAGTTGTCCCGCCTTTCTGGACCAAACCAACGTATTTATTGAATGTATTTGATTGATGTCTCATGCCTCCCTAAAATGTGTAAAACCAAGCTGCTCTCCAACCACCTTGGGCACATGTTCTCAGGGTCTCCTGAGGGCTGTCACAGGCCATGGTCACTCATATTTGGCTCAGAATAAATCTCTTCAAATATTGTACAGTTTGACTCTTTTTGTTGACAGTACCATTCACTGATGAGCTACGTAATATAGTATGGTTCTATTTCCCTTTCTTGTACAACATTTGTTTTTTCCAGGAGTTAAAAATTATCTCATTTTTTCATTTGCTTCATTTTCTAGGTACTCTTACAAATGTTTCCTAAACTCTCTGATAGAGCTGAAGAACTCCTCTTAATGTGGTGGAACTCATCGGGTCCACTGATCCCACATGTTTGTTTCCCTGGGCCACATCGCCCCAGCAGCTTTTTTTTTTTTGAGACAGAGTCTTGCTCTGTCCCAGGCCAGAGCTCAGTAGCGCAATCTTGGCTCACTGCAAGCTCCGCCTCCCAGGTTCAGGCGATTCACCTGCCTCAGCCTTCCAAGTAGCTGGGATTACAGGTGCGTGCCACCACGCCTGGCTAATTTTTTTGTATTTTTAGTAGAAACAGGGTTTCACCATGTTGGCCAGGCCGGTCTCGAACTCCTGACCTCGTGATCCGCCAGCCTCAGCCTCCCAAAATGCTGGGATTACAGGCGTGAGCCACTGTGCCCAGCCTTCCCCAACAGCTTTCCATCCTACTGCCCAGCCTTGCCTGGTCCTCAGGCCCATTGCACAACTTCCATACTGGAAATTCACTCAACCATCATCCTGTGAATTCTCTTCTCTCCCGTATTGGCTTCCTTGTTTTCCAAATCCCTTAGGTTCCTTAGGTTCTTAGGCTCATTTCCTAATTTTAATGTTGCATATCCTTCAATTGCTTCATGAGGGAAGTAGACATAAGATCCTGAAACTTTTCATGTCTGTAAATGTCTTTGTTTTACCCTCACCATTGACTAAGCTGGATACAGAATTCTGTCTTAGAAATCAATTTCCCTCAGAATTATAAAGGCTTGGCTTCATTTTCATCTGGCTTAAGTTACTGTTGATACATTCAATGCCATGCTGACTTCTCATTCTCTGTATGCAATCTTTTATTCTCTCTGGAAGCTTTTAGAATCTTGTATCAGTCAGTGTACTACAAAATAAAAAGAAGTCATTTTATGTATTCTGTCATCTTCTTTCTTTTAAGAGACAGGATCTTACTACTTTGCCCAAGCTGGTCTTGAACTCCTGGACTCACATGATCCTCCTGCCTCAGCCTCCTAAGTAGCTAGGACTACAGGTGTTCAACACCATACTGTGCCTACATTCTGTGGATAAGGAAATTAATATAAAATTAGGATCTTTCATGACTATTGGAAGAGCTGAAGGAGTAAAGGTCACTGGATCTGTCACCAAAAATCAGAGAAATCTATGCTAAACATCTCAGTCTGAATCATTGAGGAGAGGTGGTTCTCAAAACCTTACCGAAATTCTCAGGAATCTCTGAGAAGCTTCCACCAACTATCCTCTCAAGAGTTTGCCAGGAAGCCACTGTGAAGCTCTTGCCTACCTGCACATTTAGCTGCCCCTGATTCACTTCCATCTTCCAAATCTCATACAAGTTTCTCTCACAAGCATACTCTAACCAAAAACCACATAGAAAAGGAAACCATTCTGGAAAATGTAGCTCTCAGCCTTAAAAATGAGTGAGAGTTGTGCTAACACCAGATAATCCAGCAGAGTCTACTCCTTCATCAGCTCGGCATCCACACACCCTATTTTTAATCTTTAACTTCCAAATAAAGATATTAGCAACATTATGCTTTTACATTATATGATTCAATGATTCTTCATACAACCAAACCTAAAAGAAGAAACCCAGAGTTCCACTTTATCCATCTGTGAATAAATGTTTATCTTCTGATTCACAATCTTATCTTGCTATCCTATAACTTAAAACTGGACCATACGAGTAACCATGATTCATATACTGATACTATTAGAGGGTATTGGAATGGGAGAGAAAAAAAAGAAAAATATCAGTTTATGTATACAAATGTCCATATCTAAGCAATAAAGAAAATATCTCTAATGACTAGAGTACTTGTTTCTGGAACTGGTCACATGGCTGTAATTGGTATGTGTAATTCCCTTCTCCCACCACTCATTTCCTATCACACTGGTCCCCAGCAAGCACCTCAGCCAGTTTTTTTTGTTTTTTTTTTGTTTGTTTTTTGTTTTTTGAGACAGAGCCTTGCTCTGTCACCCAGGCTGGAGTGCAGTGGCGTGATCTCGGCTCACTGCAACCTCTGCCTCCTGGGTTCAAGTGATTCTCCTTCCTCAGCTTCTGGAGTAGCTGGGATTACAGGTGCCCACCACCATGCCTGGATAATTTTTTTTGTATTTTTAGTAGAGACGGGGTTTCATCATGTTGGCCAGGCTGGTTTGGAACCCCTGATCTCAAGTGATCCGCCCACCTTGGCCTCCCAAAGTGCTAGGATTACAGGTGTGAGCCACAGTGCCCAGCCCAGTCAGTTTTTTAATTTGTTTTTTGGTCTAGTATGATGACCTAAATCTTTATTCTTGAAGTTTCTGTGCGACATTGTTCTGCTTGTTCTGGTTGCTATAGTTTTCTCTAACTTTTACTACAGAGCATGGGAGTGCCAGATTACCAGGAGGATCTCCTGGAGCCCAGGTACTCCTTGCCTCCATTGTGCAGTAGCCAACCAATTTACCCTTGATAATCAAGATCAGTTGTCCCATCTAGCAAAGAAAACATTTGTCTGACAAAGTGACCAGATGAGAGTCTCAGATTCCTGTTAAATGGACTCACTGTTGTGTTCCCTGGTGGAAGTATTCCTGCCCTGGAAACCCAGACCTCTAAACTAGCAGAGTTTAATGTTGTGGGGATAAAAAAGCCAAAACTTTGGTAGATCATTAGATGTACAGTAAAAGACACTACTCCCATTTGCATTCCTTGATTTTTAAAACTTCGTATCTTTGCTGTGGGGGAAACTACATCATAAATGAGTCACTGATTCGGAGTATGTTCTGCATCTCATCGGGTACTAAATCAGCTCCACAAAGTTATTTTATCAACTGGCACCATAACTGAATCTTCAAAAGCCCATTCTGCCACTCTATCAAGCCAAGCTTCAGGATGATGGCAAACATGGTAAGACCAGTGAATTCCAAATAAAGGCATTCACAACATCATGCTTTCGTGAGCACATTGCTGCACTTCATTTGCTGTGAAATCAGTTCCTTGTCAGAAGCAAAGCTAGGAAGAGTGCCACTATCATACATTAGGTATTCTGTAAGTAAGTCCAGAGATGACCATTTTGGAGGAACCACTGTGGACAGGGAGGGCAATCCATCCATCTCCAGTGAGAACAAAGCAGTGCTTCTGGCAAGATGGAAATGGTCCACGTTACTTAAACTGTTGATTCCCCCAAATAACAGTGCCACATCATGGGCTCAATGTTTGTCTCTGCTGTTGGCAGGCTGGGCACCCTGCAGGAGCCATTTGCAAATCAGACTTTCACCGAGCCTAAGCTCAGCTCCATCCCTGCCACCTTGGGAACAGAATTCTGGGAAGTATAGTTCCCAACCTCAGAAGAACGGTGGTGTCATCAGGTTGACAAGAGGCAATCCAGCACAGATGTTCTCCTTGCCTCTCAGTGTTCTGAAAGGTCATTCCGATGTGCTGGGCCTTTCTGCATCACTGCAATGGGCACTCAGGAAGCCCTTTCTGTACAAAAGCACATGTTCTCAAGTTCGTGTAGATTTTTATTATTTTAGTTTCTTCTCCTTTGTTTACTCTGTTCTCTCTGGAATTCCTAATATCATGCACCTCTGAGTTGATTCTCTAATTTTCTTATCTTTTCCCTTCCCTTCTCTCCTTCTGTCCTCCACACTGCCTTTTTTGTTCTTTCTGGGATATGTTATTGACTTTATCTTCCAAAGTATCTGCTTATTTATTTGAAGATTTTTAAAGCTTTTTATTTTTAAATAATTATAGATTCACAGGAAATATTATTTCAAAATTCAAAAAAAGGTACTGGGATGTCTCATGCACCGCCCCCCCAGACTCCCTCACTGTTAACATCCTGAACGACTATAGCATAATATCGAAAATGAAAAATTGAAATTGGTGGTGGCGGCAGCACGGTGGCAGGGGCAGCAAGGCGGCTGCAGCAGCTGTAGAAGAGGTCAGCTCAGCCGGCCAGTTTGAGGAGCTGCTGCGCCTCAAAGCCAAGTCCCTCCTTGTGGTCCACAATGTGCACAGATGAACGAAGTTATGGCAGAGTTAGCTAAAGAACACCCTCAAGTTTCATTTGTGAAGTTGGAAGCTGAAGGTGTTCCTGAAGTATCTGAAAAATATGAAATTGGCTCTGTTCCCACTTTTCTGTTTTTCAATAATTCTCAGAAAATTGACCGATTAGATGGTGCACACATCCCAGAGTTGACCAAAAAAGCTCAGCGACATCTAGTGGCTCCTTCCCACCCAGCACTGATGAACATCTTAAAGACCAAAAAAGCTCAGCGACATGCATCTAGTGGCTCCTTCCCACCCAGCACTGACGAACATCTTAAAGAAGATCTCAACCTTCGCTTACAGAAACTGACTCATGCTGCCCCCTGCATGCTGTTTATGAAAGGAACTCCTCAAGAACCACTCTGTGGTTTCAGCAAGCAGATGGTGGAAATTGTTCACAAACATAATATTTAGTTTAGCAGTTTTGATGTCTTTAGATCAAGAGGTTCGACAGGGGCTCAAAGCCTATTCCAATTGGCCTACCTATCCTCAGCTCTACGTTTCTGGAGAGCTCATAGGAGGACTTGATATAATTAAGGAGATACACGCATCTGAAGAACTAGATATAATTTGTCCCAAAGCTCCCAAATTAGAGGAAAGGCTCAAAGTGCTGACAAATGAAGCTTCTATGATGCTCTTTATGAAAGGAAACAAACAGGAAGCAAAATGTGGATTCAGCAAACAAATTCTGGAAATACTAAATAGTACTGGTGGTGAATATGAAACATTCGATATATTGGAGGATGAAGGAGATCGGCAAGGATTAAAAGCTTACTCAAATTGGCCAACATACCCTCAGCTGTATGTGAAAGGGGAGCTGGTGGGAGGATTGGATATTGTGAAAGAGCTGAAAGAAAATGGTGAATTGCTGCCTATACTGAGAGGAGAAAATTAATAAATCTTAAACTTGGTGCCCAACTATTGCAAGAAATACTTAATTACATTGGGAGCAGTTCATGATTTAGTCCTCAGAAATGGGCTAGGAATAGAAAAATCCTGCTTACTCAGTTACATGTTTTTTGTATTTCACAATGTCGTGCTAAATAAAAGTATGTTACATGTTTTCCCACTAAAAATAGAATGCAATAAACATCTTCAAATTATTAACAATAACTGTATAAAAAAGTGTATCTTTACAGCAATATTAAACATACAGCTACTAGAAAAAAACTGAAATTGGTACAATCTACAGAGCTCATTCAGATTTCACAAGTTACACATGCCCGTGTGTGTTTGGCATAACTTTTTGCAATTTTATCACTTGTGTTGTCTTGGATAGCCACCATCACAATCAAGATACACAACAGTACCATAGCCGTAAGAGTCCCGCATGTTACCACTTTATGAACATACCTATTCCCTCTTCCCCCATTCCTAATCCCTCACAACCAGTAATCTGTTCTCCATTTCAAAAATGATGTTTCATCAATGTTGCATAGATGAAATCACGCAACATGCTTAAGATTGGCTTTTTTTCACTCAGCATAATTTCTTCTAAGCTATGTGTGTGTTGTTTTTCTGTTTTTACTGTTAGTAGTATTTCCACAGTATAAATGTACTACAATTTGTTTAATCATTCACTCATTACAGAACATTTGGGTTGTTTCCAGTTTGGAACTATTATAAATAAAACTGCTATGAACATTTGCATATCTATTTATTTATCTTAGTCTCTACTCTATTATTTATTTCTAAAAGTTCTTTCTTGTTCTCTCATTGTTTCTTTTCTATAGCACCTTCTTCTTGTTTTATAGGTTTAATATCTTTCCTTATCTTTGCAGATTTTAATTTTAAAACAAATGTTTTCTTTTTTTTTTTTTTTTTTGGAGACAGGATCTCGCTCTGCTGCCTAGGCTGGAGTGCAGTGGCTTGATTGCGGCTCACTGCAACTCCGCCTCCTGGGTTCAAGTGATCCTCCTACCTCAGCCTCCCTATCAGCTGGGACTACAGATGCATGCCACCACACCTAGCTAATTTTTGTATTTTTTAGTAGAGATGGGGTTTCACCAGGTTGGCCAGGCTGGTCTTGAACTCCTGACCTCAGGTGATCACCCATCTTGGCCTCCCAAAGTGCTGGGATTACAGGCGTGAGCCACCGCACCCGGCTTTTAAAACAAATGTTTTCTTCTATTCGTTGCATTGTCTCTGTTACCTATGAGTTCCTCTGCTTCTGATTAAGAGTCTGTTCTTCATGTGAACACTTTCCTCAAATATCTGATGAATCTTGCTTATGCATTTATATTTAAGAGTGAGGCACTATAGAGTTTATTCCTCACCAGTGAGGCTAGCTTCACTGGTGAGGAAATTGGGCAGTTTAGTAGTCAGGGTAAATTAGGCTATGTTGTGTTAACAAACAACCCCCAAATCTCAGTGGCTTAGCATAATAAGGGTTTATTTCTCACTAATGTCACAGTCCAACGTGGCCTCCACAGAGGTGGAAGAAAGAGCATGAATGATTGTTTAAAGCCTGAGACACCAGCTCATTCACTATGGAATCTCTCAGAGCAGAAAGCCCCAGTAGAAATTATTAATATGGATAAATCAAAAAATCACAGCAAACACATGTCATCATTGGAAGCTATGGAAATAACTATGAGAAGACATAACCCAAAAACATTTAAAGTATTTATGTCTGTGGAGCTGTGAATACTGGCAGGGAAGATTGGGGCCTTTCTGTACTGATAGATATTTCTTAAATCCTTGATTATATGTTAATTTTATTAAAGGAATACATAAATTTGAAATTAAAAACAAGGATAAGATGAGCATCCACCTGAGTTGCCCATGTCTGAGGAAATGCACTGTTGAAGATGTCATCCACTGTATCAGGAAATCAATATTTCCTATCCAAATCACCAAATGCTAAATCCCTCCTACCGAGTCCTGTATTAGTCTGTTCTCACACTGCTGTAAAAAACTGCCCAACACTGGGTAATTGGAAAGGAAAGAGGTTTATTTGGCTCACAGTTCTGCATGGAGGCCTCAGGAAACTTACAGTTATGGCACAAGGAGAAGCAAATATGTCCTTCTTCACATGGCATCAGGAGAGAAAAGTGCCAGCAGAAGAAATGCCAGACATGTACAAAACCAAAGATCTCATGAGACTCACTCACTATCATAAGAACAGCACGGGGGAACTGCCCCCACGATCTAATCACCTCCCATGAGGTCTCTCCCCCAACACGTGGGGATTCCAATTCCAATTCCAATTCAAGATGAGATTTGGGTGGGGTCACAGAGCCAGACCATATCAAGTCCTAAGGAAATTTGTTTTTGAAGAATGGGCATGTTGTTTTTTGTCACATGATGAAAACTTTGTTCCACAGTGTATTTTCTTTTTGCCTTGTTAACAAACTGACATGTTAAATGAGCATTCAGTCATGAGAAACAGCTTCTCTCAGGTGCCTGGTAACATTTCCTGCCTCAGCTTTTCTCTATGCTTTCACTCATGTGTTCCTTAGTTGTTTTACCTTATACGGTTAAATTGCACAGCCTGTTGCACTATTTGTCTTTAGGAATTGGCTATGTGTTCTGGATGTTAATCTTTTATCTGTTACATATGATGCAAATATTTTCTCCAAGTTTATTGTCTTTTAACTTTAAGGCACAAGAAAGTAGATGAAATAAACTGCCTAAGATCACAGAGCTACTCAGGGACAGAGCCAGGACTCGATCTTGTCAAATGCTCTTTGATTTATACTCCATTTTCCTACTGCAAAGTATTCACATATAAATTATCTTATTAAAAAACCCACAGGATTTGCATTCTATCATAAAGACACATGCACTTGTCTGTTTACTGCAGCACTATTCATAACAGCAAAGACCTGGAATCAACCTAATGCCCATCAACAGTAGACTGGATAAAGAAAATGTAGTATATATATACCATGGAATACTATGCAGCCATAAAAAAGAATGAGACAATGTCCTTTACAGGAACATGGATGGAACTGGAGGCCATTATCCTTAGAAAACTAACACAGCAACAGGAAACCAAATATTGTATGTTCTTACTTACAAGTGGGAGCTAAATGATGAGAACACATGGACTGAAAGAGGGGAACAACAGACATTGGAGCCTACTTGAGGGAGGAAAATGGGAGATGGGAGAGGCTCAGGGAAAAAAAAAAACTGTCGGGCATTATGCTTAGTACCTGGGTGACAAAATATCTGTACACCAAACCCCCGAGTCACGAGTTAACCTGTGTAACAAACCTGCACATGTACCCTGAACTTTTAAAATAAAAGTTAAAACATTAAACACACACGCACAGATTTGGAGTCAGACAATCTAGGTTTATTCCAGTTCCAACACTTACTGCTCTGTGATCTTGAGCAAGATGATTTACCTCTAATGAAACTTCATAGGCTCCTCTTCAAATGGGAATAATGATAATAGCAATTTTCTCTAGTTGTTATGAAAAAAAACACCAGGTATGAGAAATAACATATACATTATAAAGTGTTGAACAAATGGTTTTTTATTTTAAAAAAAAACTTTATTAAAGAGATAGTTTGGGGCATTTTTTCTTTACATTATTTTAAAATGACAATATCCTTCTATGTTAGAAATACAACAATTTTGGAAATCATTTCTAAATATCTTTAGCACCCCACTATTCTTAATGTCATGTTACATGAAATTTACATAATCTAGTTTAGAATCAGCATTACTGGGAAAAAGACAATGTTCCTATATAAATTCTACTACATATAATATATATATGCTACTGTTTATGAGAAGGGTCAATAGGATAAAGAAACTTTCAAAAAATTATATACACATACACAAATACACAAGAACATTTTATATTCATTATTCAATAATCCTTAGAATGATGACAATGCTTATATGTAAAAAATAATTTCACTCTAGAGCAGATTACAAGTAAATTTATCTGCCACATACGAGAATCTATTTACTTATGTTATAGCAACATCTCTTTTCTAAAATAAAAACATGGCAAATACTCAGCTTGATCATCTGCACTATACAACAGAATTTACTCGGAATGACCTTTTGATCATTTGCAAAAAATTCAATTTAATGTTAATGGATGAAGATATTATATCACTGTTGGCAATATTTATAAAAATGTGCTTATGGCTCTGGAAGCAATTCCTAAAAAGAGGTAGTAAATGTTCTGAGACTTCAGAATTGTTAGAAAAAGTTAAGCTTCAGTTGGCGTTTACTGCATATAAGTATGTTGACATATGTTTTCCTGAGCAAATGGCTTATTCTAGATATATACGTTGGTATATTCATTGAAAATTAGATTTATTATGTTATAAAATGTGACTAAAAGCCCATTTAAAGGGCACATATCTCTCATCTTTTGGTTCTAACGTGAAGCCAAATGAGGACAGGCGCATGATTCAGTTTATACAATAAGAAAATTGCCCCAAAGTGGATGAAGCACACACATCAGCAGCTCAGCCCCACTCCGTACAATCCAAGTGCATTCAACAAGTGATATGGTTTGGCTGTGTCCCCACCCAAATCTCATCTTGAATTGTAACTCCCATGATTCCCACATGTCTGTGGGAGGAACCCGGTGGGAGGTGATTTAATTATGGGGGTGGGTCTTTCCTGTGCTGTTCTCCTAATAGTGAATGAGTCTCATGAGATCTGATGGTTTTAAAAATGGGGGTTTCTCTGCAGAAGCTCTCTTTTTGCCTCCTGCCATCCACATACGATGTGACTTGCTCCTCTTTGTCTTCCACTATGATTGTGAGGCCTCCTCAGCCATGTGGAATTGTAAGTTCAATAAACCTCTTTGTTTTGTAAATTGCCCAGTCTTGGGTATGTCTTCATCAGCAGCATGAAAATGGACTAATACAACAAGTAAATCACTGAACATTTAATCCCAGCAGTTCTCTTTTTTCAAACTTCTCCCGTTGATTTTGTGTCAGCCCTGCCTGTGCTATGCTTTGTTGGGGTAAGCAAGCCCTGCATAAATGTTCTTTCCTTAGAGTGAAAAAAATATGCTATAATAAGAAAGGAGAGATGGAGAAGACAAAATAGGAATACAAAAAAAGGCTTCGTGTAGAGTTGACCTGTGTTTCACTCACTGGATAACATCACAGCATATAGATGTTGGTCATGAAGCAAATATGCTTTAGTTGCATACAGCTTAGAAACCTACATTATTTAATACCTTCATCAGAGGAGTATTAAACTCTAGCTTGAATGTCAACACAACAAAAGTTAGGACATGTTGTATAACTGAAGTTTTTCCCAATGTACTAAGATCTAATCTTGAGCCTGTCTGCAAGCATAAAGCTAAATAACGCATCCCATTAATCAATAAAATGCTCACTGGTGTCTTTATCAAAAGTTGTATTTTCCTTCATTGATTGAGTCACATGAAGTGAAACTTGTTCTGCTTAACTAAGATGGTGCTGCTGTACCTTTTAAAGAAAACGAATTAAAGGTTTTATGTTCATGAAAGCACAAATGTGACAAAATAAACTATGCTGACACCGTCAACATCATGACATCATAGATACGCCCAAAGGATCACAGGGATAAGTATTTTTGAAGCCCAAAGGCCTACATATAAATTTCCTGCTAAATATCTATTCTACTTACTAGTCCAAAAACACAATGTCAGATTTTCTAAGAGAAAATGATAAAGAATATACTTTGATATCCTCTCTCCTTTAAGATTTTAAAATAACAACGTGTTTATGGGGTAGTTTCTGCCCAGGCACATAGATTCCTGTTTACGGCCAAGTTTCTAGTATGGTGGTAATAAGCAAGCTTTAACTACCATACAAACAGAAGAAATCATTCCATCACAAAATCTCGATTTCAAACTTTAAATCAAAACCAGAGTATTGAAATTGACAATATTTACAATTCATCATTTTTCAAATAGTTTCTAACACAACAGGGGTGCCAATTTTTCTCTATTCATTTTTGCTTTAAGGAATATAAGGAATATATATTTTCCCAAAGAAAAGTTTTTTTCAGCGTTTTTCTTGGTCACTCTTCCATGCAATTATTTTAGGTGGCCAAAAAGTGCTAAAATTTTTAATTTCTCTTCTTCCAAGTGAGTATCTTTCTAAGTATCACTCTTATCACTTAAGAAGGAAAACTTGACTGGGTGCAGTGGCTCACACCTGTAACTCCAACACTTTGGGAGACCAAGGTGGGAGAACCACTTGAAGCCAGGAGTACAAGACCAACCTGGGCAACACAGCGAGACCTCTCTCTCTCAAAAAAACAAAACAAAACAAAACAAAAGAACACCGATGCTTTTTCTTAAAAAAATGACAACAACAACAACAAAACAACTATATGCTCAAGTACCTACAGTCAAATAAACAGATAAAATTAACTAAATTATTAGATCCCACTTTATCTGTGCCATGGCTATGGTATCACCATATTGCCCCTGATCTCCCACTACAGGAAGAATACTTTCCTCATATCCATTTTCTCTTGCCAAAAAGAAAAAACACCTAACTAGGTTTGAGATAAATTTTATTTTCAACTTTTATTAGCCTTTAAGCTAATTTCTAATTTAAAATGAATCATCCACTGGAGTACTTTACCTTTACATCTGGAAGCTATATGCATTAGGCCCACTGAAAAAAACAACAGCCATTGGTGAGTCTACATTTTGTAAGAATGAGATACGATCAAAGCAACTTACACTTCTTCGCTGGAAATTAGTGCCCTCCTGTAAAGACAGCAGTGGATTCAAAATCAAGAACCAGGCATTAAAAGACCAACAAGCCGCAGCTGTTTGAATTTTCCCTTCCTCTCCTTGTGTTCTTTACAGCTCTATCCACTATTGTGTTGCTGCTCAAAAAGCTACACAAAGGCTGGGCGCAGTGGCTCACACCTGTAATCCTAGCACTTCGGGAGGCCAAGGTGGGCGGATCACGAGGTCAAGAGATCGAGACCATCCTGGCCAACATGGTGAAACCCCATCTCTACTAAAAATATAAAAATTAGCTGGGCGTGGTGGCACATGCCTGTAGTCCCAGCTACTCGGGAGGCTGAGGCAGGAGAATCACTTGAACCCGGGAGGCAGAGGTTGCAGTGAGCCAAGATTGTGCCACTGCACTCCAGCCTGGTGACAGAGTGAGACTCTGTCTCAAAAAACAAACAAACAAAAAACAAAAAAACAAAAATCAAAAAAACAAAGCTACACAAAAACTACTCATAAACTACTGTTTGTTATTATCCAGTGACCTCTGTGTTTGATTCTATTGCACAATCCCTATTTTTCCTTCTTTTTTTTTTTTTTTAGAGTTGGGGTCTTGCTCTATCGCCCAAGCTGGAGGGCAGTGGCATGAGCATGGCTCACTGTACCCTCAAACACCTGGGCTCAAGTGATCCTCCCCGCCCAGCCTCCATAGTAGCTGGGACTATAGGCATGTGCCAACATGGACAGCTCACAATCCCTATTTTTAAACTTCACCTCTGGCTCTTAAATGTCATCATCCTGATCTCCAATCACAACCTTCTAGCTCTCTAGTTTTCCTCGTCCATCTACCTTTTATCTCCACTGAGATCATCTTCTCCTCTTTGGTCCTTTCATTTCTGCCCTCTCTAGTCTAGATCTCACTGTGAGTCACTTTGATCACTCTCTGAAATGGCAGGCTCTATTATTACCCCATTTTCCTTTGTTTTCCACTATTAGCCATCCTGCAAATTCCTATACCAAAATCATCTTTATTCACATTATTAAGTGAAGCTGGAAAAAAAAAAAGCACTCCGCTGAAGATCTGATGTCACCCCAAATGCATGGCTCCAGCCTCAGTTCAGCTTTCCACACTGCTTGCAGAAATTCCTTCATTTATCTTGAGTTTCTCCTCTCACTCCCATGGTAGCTTTTCCATTCCCACTGCCTCTTCTCACATTTCAGTAGATGAGAATAGAAGCCATAGGAAGCAAACTTCCTCAACCTCCAGCCAACCAGAGAAACTCCATTTACATCCTGCTTCCTATGACAGAGAAGGATGGGCCCTACCCCCTATCTAAATCTTTCCAAAGCACCCTGGACTCTGGCTCATGCTTCCTGCTTCTGGGTTGCTCTCTAACCCCGCATGTACGTCCACTTTACTGCCCTAAGGAATGCCCTCCTGCATCCTGGCTTTCCTCCAGCTGCCATGCATTCTCCTGCCTTTCATCCAGATTCGTTCAAGAAGCAGGCTGCATTTCATGAATGCCTTCTTTAGGTTGCCTTCTCTGCAGCCAACATGCTGCAAAATGACCCCTATCACCAAGGCAGTGAGAGTGCTCTCAAGAAGGCCACCACACTCCTCACTGCCATACCGAAAAGTATTTCTCCAAGACTTTTCTTTCTTGACTCTTCACTAAGACTTTCCCTCTTTGGCTTCTGTGGCAACATTCTCCCCTGCTTAGGCCTTCTGTGATAAAGTGCTGATGCTGAAGATGGAACAGCCTCCCAGAGCAGGAAAGGGGATCTTTTCAGGTAGCTGCAATGGTTTGAAAACAGTGTTGTCAAGTTACTTTTTCTCTTGCTGACTTCTCAGTAGTTACTCCTTTCCCGAGAGCCTCTATCAGTTTGCCTTTCTACCTAGTTCAGACTCTCTTAAAGTGGTTGGACTAATGTCACTGGTGGTTTGGGACTGGTGTCAGGTGGTTTCCATTGTTCCTGTTTGTTGTAATCAAAATGATCCTCTTGAGCCCTTTTCTCCCTCATGTTCCTTGTATATGTGAAACAGCACTGCTGTCCCTACTGTTACTCAAGCCAGACATGCAGACATCAGTCCAAATTCCCTCACGTTTGTCACCCAGTCCTTCTGTCTTTTAAATTGTTCACCGTAGCATCCAGTAGACTATTAAAATAGCGGAGTGGAAGTTGGGTTAAGAGGGAGATGTAGAGAGATAGTTTTCTCCTCAAGGAAAACCAGGGGAAATGGCCACAAAGATCCTTGAGGGAAAAAGGCCTGATTTAGAGAAAATCAGGTCTTTTTCTGATTTTTCTGATTACTGTACACAGTCAGTAAAGAAACAGAAGTAAACAAAAAACAAAGTTTTAAAGAAGGGTTAATTAACAGCATCAAATACAGTCCTGTGTGCAAGGAAAGTAAAGGAGAAAAAATGTAACTGCAATTATAAAAAAAAAAATCAATGAATTTATTTTGAGAGATCAGCTGCCGCAGTATGATGGGAACTGGATGTCAGAATATAGAAATCAAAAGGAAAATGATTATGAGGAAATGGTGGAGACTGCCATAAAGAACTCACCCATGGGGGAAAACAACAACAATAACAAGAGAAAGAGACAGCGAGTTAGAGCCCAGCAAGGGTAGCTGGGTGAAGGTATAGCTGTTATAATATTCACCTTGTTAAACTCTTAATATATCTAACAACTTGTCTATAGATTTATTTTTGTTTTCCATTAAAATAGTCATAAATCACCCTCTTTTTCCAATATAGGAGAGTCCAAAGGATATTCAGAAGTAAAGGGGAAATGCTAATATTGTCCAGAAAGGTAGCTGAAAAGTGCACATTTATCTATCTCCTTTCCCCAAAATGCACGGAAATGAACCAAAAGTAAAGAGAAAACCATCTGTGTTGAAACTAGGAAATGAAAATAATCTCATACTGAAGACCCTGAAAATTACCTGCAAACTATAAGGGAATCTGGGCCAAGCAAAAGAACTGCAAGTTGGCAGCATTTATCTATTCTGAGTAGAATGCTAATTTCAAAACTAAGTGAGAAGGCTTAGAAGCACCATGCACACTTGAACAGAAGACTGAAGGCCCTCAAAAAAATGAAAAGCACCTAGCAGAGGAACATGTGTACATCAAGAGTATCAGAACCGAGTAGAAAGTGGGATTGCGAGATTAAGTCATCTTTATCCTTTCTGACCCAGAGTTCCAGTCAGGAACACTCCCCAGGATTATTGGGCCTGCTTCTGGGCCATGGTGGTGGCGAACAAGGCCAGTGTTTAAGAGGATATGCTCTAGTTTTAGGGAGAAAGTATTTGGAGACAGCATGTGAGACTATCCACAGTCTGTTATTACCCATGCAGTTTCGAAGGGTAACGAAATAATAAACTGCCAACACTAATCTCTCCAGCACAAGTTCTAAGGATACTAATGTAGCTCCTAAGTAACTAAAGAGAAAGATAAATCCACATTGTTCCTAGATAGCATTTATTGGATAGAATTTCCTTCCTCTTCCTCTCTTCCTTCTTCCTTTAAGAACTAGGTATTAAACACATGGTATGTACCAGGCATTGTGCTAGACACTGGGAATCCTCACACAAAACAGGGCCTAGTGGGGAAAATACAAGTTAAAGTCATACAAGTGTACTAAGTAAGATAAGAGAGATGTTCAGGGCGCTATACCAACATCTCATAGATAGCCTTATGGTAGTCCAGAAGCTTTCAAATGAATAATGAGGACTAAAGAGCCAACAAGGGACCTATGAATTAAGTACATCAAAAAATGGCAGTGGACATGAGCATGATAAACAAAAGCCAGTGAATGCTAAGCTTTGGAAGAATTATCTCAGGGAAGAGAAGACATAAATTATCAAAGTCTTACAAGTCTTTTGATGTGTAAGCCTTCTCTTGTGTTAAATCTGTAATTTCCCTTGGGGCATACAGGGATTTAACTCTAGCTACTGGTCTATATACAGTGGAAGTGGTTGGGGATGTATAGAGGAATATTTACTTGCTCTTACAATGTAACTTCCTCATATAAAAAAGTGTATTAGGGCCAGGCGCAGTGGCTCACTCCTGCAATCCCAGCACTTTGGGAGGCCAAGGAGGGCGAATCATAAGATCAGGAGTTCAAGACCAGCCTGGCCAACATGGTGAAACCCCATCTCTACTAAAAATACAAAAAATTAGCTGGCGGTAGTGGCAGGCGCCTGTAATCCCAGCTACTCGGGAGGCTGAGGCAGGAGAATTGCTTGAACCAGGGAGGCAGAGGTTGCAGTGAGACGAGATCGTGCCACTGCACTCCAGAGCCCGGCTGACAGAGTGAGACTCCATCTCAAAAAAAAAAAAAAAAAAAAAAAGTGTATCAATTTCTTATAGCTGCCGTAACCAAGTGGCTTAAACAACAGAAATGTATTGTTTCACAGTTCTGAAGGCTGGGAATCAAAGATCAAGGTGTTGGGGCAGGGTGGGCTCTTTCTGGGGGCTGTGAGGCAAGGATCCGTTTCAGGCCTCTGTCCTTGGCTTGTAGAAAGCCATTTTCTTCCTGTGTCCCTGTACATTTACGCATATCTCCATGTACAAGTTTCTCCTTTTTTTTTTTTTTTTTCAGACGGAGTCTCGCTCTGTCACCGGGCTGGAGTGCAGTGGCGCGATTTTGGCTCACTGCAAGCTCTGACTCCCTGGTTCAAGCGATTCTCCTGCCTCAGCATCCCGAGTAGCTGGGACTACAGGCACGCGCCACCACGCCCAGCTAATTTTTGTATTTTTAGTAGAGACAGGGTTTCACCATGTTGGCCAGGATGGTCTTATCTCCTGACCTCATGATCCGCCTGCCTGTGCCTCCCAAAGTGCTGGGATTGCAGACGTGAGCCACCGCGCCTGGACAGTTTCTCCTTTCTATAAGCACAGCAGTCATACCGGATTAGGGCGCCCATCCATAACCGTCACCAAACAGAGGGTTAGTTGCTTGCTGCCTGCGTAGTCCAATTAACAAGAGCGAGGTCTGGCATAAAGAAAGCGGTTTCTTCCGAAGCTAGCTTGGGGAAGAGTCGTGAACGTTAGTCCTGCCTTTACATGTGACGTTTTGCTCCCAGAGCAGAAAGTAGGCACTTATCCAAGGCCGGGGAAGGAGTGAGCAAGGGCGAGGGGTCCCCCTGCTGGCCCAGTGCCTTAACTACTGGGTAGCTGAGTTGGTGCCTTCCTGGGCAGAAGTTATAAAAGTGGCCAAGTGGGCGTGCTTTTGACATGCCCTCCTGGTGGGTGGGAGTTCCAAGGCAACCCCTCCTAGAGGGTGAAGGTTCTGAGGCAGGCATGCTTTGGGGGCATAAGCCGGGGGAAAGGGGAGAGGAGAAAATAATTAAAAAATAAACTGAAAAATGAGAGTACTCAGTTACATAATGAACTCATTTTAACTTGATTCCCTCTTTACAGACCTTATCCCTAAATAAGGCTATATTCTGTAAACCAAAAATAAAATCTTAAGATCCGTCAGCCATCTGAATGGACTCCTCCTCTCTGCCAGAGCATTCCAAAGTTAACCGGAAAAACTGGTTCAGGCCATGATGGAAATGGGGGGGTCAGACATGGCTCGTTATACCATCCCCACTTATGGAATTCAGAAAGAGCCAACCAGCATTTAACATCAACACAGAACTTATGTCTAATAAGAAACATTTAGTCTATTCTCTCTGAGGCATGCTATCTGGAGGCTTCATTTGCATAATTTAAAAGTTGGTCTCCACAACCCCTATCGAAACCCAGACATTCTATTGATAACTCTTTTAACCAATTGCCTATCAGAAAATTTTAAAATCTACCTATGACCTGGAACTGCCCCTCACCCTCCATCTTTGAGTTGTGACACCTTTCCAGACCAAATCAATGTATATCTTACATGTATTTGATTGATGTCTCATGTCTCCCTAAAATGTATAAAACTAGGCTATTCCCCAACCACCCTGGGCACATGTTCTCAGGATCTCGTGAGGGCTGTGTCATGGGCATTGGTCACTCATATTTGGCTCAGAATAAATCTCTTCAAATATTTTACAGAGTTTGACTCTTTTCATCAACAATTCTGAGGTGCTGGGGGTCAAGACTCCAACATATGAAATTCGTGAAGCAGGGGACACAATTCAACCCATAACAAGGAGTTACATGTTTTTAAAAGAGAGGTAAAGCACAAGAAAACATATTTGGTCTTTGTGCCAGTTCCAGGTACATGGCTTCTAAAACCCTTGGAATCTCCCGTGTGATAAGATTATCTTCTGTATGATAATGAGCTGACTGGTGCCTGGGGTTGCCTGGATGGCCTCAGGATGAGGGTGGATTGATAAAAGACCTAGGCATCTTTAGAGGCTGGAACTTCTAGCCCCACTCCCAATCTCTTGGGACGGAAAGTTGAGTTAATCACCAATGGCCAATAACTTAATCGATCCAAGTCCACACAACAAATCCTCCATAAAAACTCCTAAAGAACAGGGTTTGGAGAGCTTCCGGGTTGAAAACTTGGAGGTACTGAGGGCTGGTGCACCCACAGAGGGCGTAAAAGCTCTCTGCCCCTCTCCCTATATCTTCTCTTCTGCATTTTTTCCATTTGGCAGTTCCTCAGCAGTATCTTTTTTTTTTTTTTTTTTTTTTTTTTTTTGAGACAGGGTCCTACTCTGTTGCCCAGGCTGGAGTGCAGTGATAACATCATAGCTCACTGGAGACGCAAACTCCTGGGCTCAAGTAATCCTCCTGTTAGCAGTGGCAAATCCACGAGTCTGCAGCAACCTCAATTCTTGCCTCCTTAGGAGAAAGAATTCGTTCGACTGAAGGGCATAAGGCAGAGAGAGAGATGGAGGTAAGTTTTAGAGCAGGCGTGAAAGTTTATTAAAAAGTTTTAAAGCAGGAATCAAAGAATGTAAGGTACACTTGGAAGATAGCCAAGCAGGAGTCTTGAGGAGTTCAAGTGCCCAGTTTGACCTCTGACTTGGGGTTTCATATGCTGGTATTCTGCATGTGCGGTGGCCTGCCAGCACTTAGGAGGGGGCCAATGCACAGTGTGTTTACTGAAGTTGAACAAATGCACATTGAGGCGTTCTTTCCTACAAGTTGAATGTTCCTAGAGGAAGGTCATATACCCGTTAAACTCTGCCATTTTGCCTTTGAGTGCACATGCTTGAGCCCACTCACCCAACTCCTGAGATCATATTGGGAAGCTGCTAGTCACCAGTTTCAGGTGTTTTCTATCTGTTGGGAGACTGCCTTTCCCTAGCACTGGCTGCAACCAATTATTATTTTAAAGAGACAGTTAACAACCACCTGACCATCACCTGATGGTTGCCTAACATTCCTGGTGGTGGAAGGACCCTCTTCTGCCCTGCTCACGTCTAACTACCTGCTCTAATACTCCCACCTCAACCTCCCAAGTTACTGAGACTATAGGTGTGAGCCACCGTGCCAGGCCTGAGCTGTTATCTTTTATAATAAAATGAGAATAATCAGTGCTTCAGGGCTTTGCTGAGTTCTGTGAGGCATTCTAGCAAATTATAGAAACTGAGGGGAAGGGGCCATGGGAACCCCCAAATTTGTAGTCACCTGGGCAGAAATGTGGATCACCTGGGCACCCCATTTACAGCTGACATCTGAAGTAGGGAAGTATTGTGGGACTGAGCCTTTAACTTGTAGGGGTGGATGCTAACGCAGGCAGACAGTATCAGAATTTAATTGAATTATTGGACATCCGGTTGATGTCTAGAGAACTGGAGAAATGGCTGGTGTTAGAACGGACATCACACATTTGGTGTCAGGAGGAAAACACCCTCGGGAGGATTAAGAGGAAGGAAAGGCTTTGACAAGCAGAGGAGGCTCAAGGCATTGAGTTCAGAGTACTCCATGGAGTCAAGGAGGTCTCCGAATCCTCTGGAGTGTCCCCATCCTAATTCACAAAGTCTTGGTTTTTCCTGATTAGGACTTGCACTTACACGACCTGGTGACTAACCAACAGAGTAACTGAATAACCCTACAGATCAATTTTTGAGTTTGGTTTTCAGTTACTTCAGCCTTAGGGTTTTCTGGTATTCTTGGTTTTATTTTTAGAAATAAAAAAAAACAACATAGACTTGAAGGACTTCAATAGCACATAAGAAAAATAAGTTGAATCAAAAGGATGAGAAAGGATTGAAAAAGACTAGAACAATCTTTATCAGAGAATTATTAACCATGTTAAGGGCCAGGCGCGGTGGCTCACGCCTGTGATCCTAGCACTTTGGGAGGCTGAGACAGGCGGGTCACCTGAGGTCAGGAGTTCAAGACCAGACTGGCCAACATGGTGAAACCTCATCTCTACTAAAAATACAAAAATTAGCCAGGTGTAGTGGCAGGCGCCTGTAATCCCAGCTACTTGGGAGGCTGAGGCAGGAGAACCACTTGAGCCCAGGAGGCAGAGGTTGCAGTGAGCCAAGACTGTACCACTGCACTCCAGCCTGGGCAATAAGAGCAAAATTCCATGTCAAAAAAAAAAAAAAAGAGAGAGAGACAGAATTATTAACCATTTTAACAGAAAATCAGAATCTGTAGACATGATATTAGAAATAGTAAGAGGGTTTAACAAGGTGGACAGGTATAAGGTCGTTATACAAAAGTCAACTGCACTTCTTTATACCAGAAGGGAGTCCAGATATAGACTCAAATATACAGGGCATATAAGTGTATGATAAAGGTGTCATCTCAAATTATGGGAAAAAGATTATTCAGTAAAGGTGTTGGGACCTTTGGGGAAAAAAATATACATCTGAATCATACATAAATTGCTGTCAGATATACCAAAGACTTAAAAAGAAATGAAATATAAAAGTATTATAAGAAAGAAAATTGTATCACATGGGGCTAGGGAAGGGCTTTATAATCATGGCGGAAAACCTAGACACCATATGGAATGATTAACAATTTAAAACTTCATTATAACATAACAAACAAAATCAAAGCAAAAACCCTCCACAAAGTTAAGAGATAAAAGACAATCCAAGAGGTGGGGGATTATCATAGTTTGTGATGTGCCTTTTATTGTGATTGAGCTCTGTTTGAATGCCACTTCTAAAACTGTGGAGCGGGCACAGTGGCTCGTGGCTGTAATCCCAGCACTTTGGGAGGCTGAGGCGGGCAGATCACTTGAGCTCAGGAATTCAAGACCAGGCCTGGGCAACATGGTGAAACCCTGCCTCTACAAAAAATTAGCTGGGTATGGTGGCAGGCACCTACAGTCCCATCCACTCAGGAGGCTGAGGCACTAGAATTGCTTGAACCTAGGAGGCGGAGTTTGCACTGAGCTGGGATCGTGCCACTGCACTCCAGCCTGGGTGATAGAGACATACCCTGTCTCAAAATAAAAATAAAAATAAACTAACTGTAAATTTGGGCAAATTCCTTAACCTCTCTGAACCCATTTTCCTTGTGTGAACATGAAAATAACACATTCCCCAAAATTAATGTGAGGATTAAATGGAATAATGTATGTAAAGTATTTAGCACAGAGCCTAGCATGCAGTAAGCATTCAATAAATGTAGGGGAGAAGACGTGCAATATTTGACAAAAACATTTATTATCAATTTATTTAAAATGCATGCTTTAAAAAGAGTAAAATATGTGAACAGTCAGCTTGAATAAGTAGAAATAATGGTGATTAATAATCACATTAAAAAGTGTGTAACTGGCTAGGCATGGTGGCTCACGCCTGCAATCCCAGCACTTTGGGAGGCTGAGTGGGGGGATCACCTGAGGTCAGGAATTCCAAACCAGCTGGTCCAACACGGTGAAACCCCATCTCTACTGAAAATACAAAACTCAGCCAGGCGTGGTGGCAGGCGCCTGTAATCCCAGCTACTCGGGAGGCTGAGGCACGAGAATCACCTGAACCTGAGAGGTAGAGGTTGCAGTGAGCTGAGATTGTGCCACTGCACTCCAGCCTGGATGACAGAGTAAGACTCTGTCTCAAAAAACAAACAAACAAAAGTGCATAACTTCTCAAATAGAAATTTAAAATAAAAGAACAAGATATATGACTGTATTTCTTAGGCAGTAATTTAAAATAAAAAAAAATTGATAATGCCTGAGCTAGTAAGAATGTAGTGAATCACTCTCTTACATTTTACTAAGAGTATCCATCGGTACACGTTTTAAGGTAATTTGTTGGTACTTATTAAAATGTAAATGTTCACAATTGCTTGCCCTCACAGTTTAATTTCTAAGAATTTTTCCTACTGAAATACTGATTTAAGGAAGCAAAATACATAGTATTTGCAAGGATGGCTAAAGAAAAAAACAAAACTACAAAAAATAAAGCATATCTACAAATGCTATTATGAAGATTCAAAATATATACCAGAACAAGTTGTATGTATGTATAGTATGAGCCTTTTATTGTAAAAAACAATAGTAACTATGACATATATGTTAATGTGTTCATAGAAAAATAATCTATGTCTAGAGGTTAAGATTACGGTTGTTTCACTTTTAGTATATTTTTATGTTTAAGCTAGAAGCTTCTATAAATGAATAGTAATTATATATTAGTAGTAATTTACAATTGAAACACTTTAGAGGGATACCAAAGTATGAGAGGTGGTTTTCTCAGGAAGAAGAGAAATGGCGTCTGATGTTCCAGCAGAATGGAGACAGACACCAGGCTGTCAAAATCATCACTTGACAAGCTGTCTGCACAGCAATAGTTAACACGCAAATTAAACTTTTCATATACTGGATTCATAGAGAAATGTGGTGTAAATTTACCGTTACTTTAACTTAAGAAAAAAGCTGCACTACTTTTTCATAATTTAGGCCTTCCTTAACCCTGAGAAGGAGGTCCCTCTCTTACTCCCTCTTCTTACTTGAAATGGACTCATGAGTGTAAATTCAAGCATGTCTGTGCAAATGCTCTGCAATGTTCAGAGAAGAAAACTGCTAGATCATGGGCATCTTTAACCTAGGTTTGTGTGGAGCAGCAATGAGCATGCAAGCTGTTCCAAGGAAAAGTTAATTTTACTGCTTCATGTCAGTAAAAGTTCATATGTTTTATTTTACTATTCCAACATGAAACTTTATATTTAAAAACCTGAAAACTATTTTTAAGTACAGCAGTCTTTCTGCATATAGTATTACTCACATGTGTGCAAATTCTGCTCAAAGCTTCGATTTAGTTGTTCCCAAAACAGTCTCTCCCTTCATATACTGTACCTCTAAATTAATCCTACATTGAGTTTAGACTATTAACATAACGTAGGCCAATCCCTGTTTAACTTGCCAATCCAAGTCTTTCATTCCTAATCTTAAAAGTGCTTCATTTTTAAAAAGCACTGAAGGAAGTAAATGCATGGAAATGGAACTTGCCTAGCAGTTTCATGTGTAGGCAGATACAAAAGACATCTGTGTAGTAGTAATCCAGGAATCAGATTACTCTACTGGCTCGTTTTTTCAAGGATGGTAGAAGGAATGGGCGTAACCATGGAAATGTTCCTTCCCAAAACACAAATCTTAAACAAAACCCAAAAGCCTAGAAACATCAAAAAACCCAGGAACTCTAGCTTCCAACAGAGAACTCAACATCACCATGACACAGAGTAGCTAAAAAGAGATCCTTCCAAAAAAGAAAGTGCTACAAAAACACAGCCTTTCGAAATTTTATCCCAGGCAAGATGCCTTTTATTCTGTAAAATAAAACACTTGTCAGCAATAACAGAAATGAAATGTGTGTCTAAAATCTTCTTTAGAAGGACTATTATTCAGTAGCTCAATTCAGTCACTTTAGATAATTGTGGTGTGGCATTTAAATCCTAAATTAAAGCTCTTCCTCTACTAGTTGACATGGAAGTAATTCTGTGGGGGCTCTTGGTCTAAACTTAGCTGGAAACAACTAAAATTTGGATAAATTCATATAAAAACAACAGTCTCCTTTGCCAAAGAAGCTGGAATATGGACTGACAATATTGAAATAAATTAAACAAATGTTTATCATATACTATCATGTGCTAAGCACTTTCAACTGCTAGGCAAACAGCTGCCAACAAAAATAGATGAGAACTCTGTAATTTTATAGAACTTGTGAAAATAAGTAATTCAAAATCAAAGCTATTGGAACGTTATTTTGAGCCTTAAAGGAATGTGATTATACGACCTGAGTCACTAACAGGCAGCTGTAACCTTTATTTCCCTAATTACGGATTAGCCTTGAATAAACTCAGGTGAGCCACTGTACCTGGCTTTGAGAATTTCAATAAAAGAAAAGGAGGTGTGCCTGAAACTTCAAGACTAAAAGAGATAAATTAAGGAGGGCCAATCATGGAGAGGTTTATAGGCCACAGTAAGGAGCTGGATTTTTTTTTATGAGTAATGAGAAAACATTAATGGATTTTTGCTCTGACAAATTAAAGCTGGATATTCCTCATCTACTGGTTGAAATAGGGGTAATCCTGTAGGGACATGGATCCCTCTTGGTCTAAACTTAACCAGAAACAACTAAAATTTGGACAAATTCATAAAAAGACAACAATCTCTTTTTCCAAAGACTCCAGAGTATGAACTGACAACACTGAAATGTTTTGGGAGAAAAGGAATAGAAGCAGAGAGAATGGATTGGAAATGACAATAAGGAGGCTTTCAAACAGCCAAGCATTCACCTTCCTAACATCACTGAAGGATCAGGCATGGGCTGGCCTCAGTACTTAATCGTTATTTTGAACTGTGGTGGCAACAGATCTCACCAGCTGAGAATTAAAGAAAAATTCTACTCCTAGGGCCAAAAGGAGACAACTTGGAAAGTTAGAAGTTAGAAGAAGTTCACAGCCATTTCATAAATGCTCAAAAAAAAAAAAAAAAAAAAACCCAAAACCAAAAAAAAAAAAAAAAGAAAAAAAAAAGAACACATTCTAAAGGTTTGGGTAAAAAATTTGCAAGAATTACTTGCTCTTTTCGCTGGGTGTGGTGGCTCACGCCTGTGATCCCAGCAATTTGGGAGGCCAAGGCAGGTGAATCACTTGAGCTCAGGAGTTCAAGACTAGCCTGGCCAACATGGCGAAAACCCATCTCTACTAAAAATACAAAAATTAGCCAGGTGTGGTGTTGCGCGACTGTAATCCCAGCACTTTGGGGGACCCAAGTGGGTGGATCACTTGTGCTCAGGAGTTCAAGACCAGCCTGGCCAACATGGCGAAACCCCATCTCTACTAAAAATACAAAAATCAGCCAGGCTTGGTAGCGTGTGCCTGTAATTTCAGCTACCTGGGAGGCTGAGGCAAAGAACTGCTTGAACTCGTAAGGCGGAAGTTGCAGTTAGCCAAGATCGCACCACTGCACTCCAGCTTGGGGGACAGAGAGAGACCCTAACTCAATTAAAAAAAGAAATTTTGTTTTGTTTTAATGAACCTTACAACAAAGCTGTTTATTTAAAAAAAATAAAAGCTGGTAACTAGTATGAGGTCAAATGCAGAAAGCCAGATTATAAAAAATTACCCATATAATGTGGAATATTAAAAATGGAAATATGAAAAAA